>NT_187629.1:0-259914 GCF_000001405.40 Homo sapiens | reverse complement strand
GAATTCTATGCTCACTAACAATATCCTTCAAAAGTGAAAATGGCTGGGCATGGTGGCTCCTCCCTGTAATCCCAGCACTTTGGAAGGCCGAGGCAGGTGGATCACCTGAGGTCAGAAGTTCGAGACCAGCCTGGCCAACATGGTGAAACCCCATCTCTACCAAAAATACACAAATTAGCCAGATGTGGTGGTGGATGCCTGTAATCCCAGCTACTCAGGAGGCTGAGGCACAAGAATTGCTTGAACCCGAGAGGTGGAGGTTGCAGTGAGCCAAGATCTTGCCACTGCACTCCAGCCAGGGTGACAGAGCAAAACTCCATCTCAAAAAAAAAAAAAACAGGCCAGTCACGGTGGCTCATGCCTATAATCCCAGCACTTTGAGAGGCCGAGGTGGGCGGATTGCCTGAAGTCAGAAGTTCAAGACTAGTCTGACCATCATAGGGAAACCCGGTCTCTACTACAAATACAAAAAAATTATCCAGGCATGGTGGCATGCACCTGTAATCCCAGCTCCTTGGAAGGCTGAGGCAGGGGAATTGCTTGAACCAGGGAGATGGAGGTTGCAGTGAGCCGAGATCATGCCACTGCACTCCAGCCTGGGCAACAGAGTGATACTCCGTCTCAAAAACAAACAAACAAACAAAAATTAGCCAGACGTGATGGCTAACACCTGTAATCCCAGCTACTCAGGAGGCTGAGACGGGAGAATCACCTGAACCCAGGAGGTAGAAGTTGCAGTGAGCTGAGATCCCACCACTGCACTCCAGCCTGGGCCACAGAGCAAGACTCGGTCTCAAAAAACAAACAAAAAAGTGAAAGTGGAATATATATGTGTGTGTGTGTGTGTGTGTGTGTGTGTGTGTGTGTATGTGTATATATGTGTGTGTGTATATGTGTGTATATATATGGAATATATATGTATATTTTGTCCATGACATAGCCCTCAGGAGATCCTTGACCATGTGCTGAAGGATATTTTTTCCCAAAGATATTTTTATAAATAAAAATAAAGGGTAACAGAAGAGGTAGATGTGTGGGTAAATCTAAATGAATGTTATTGGTATGAAATTACAGTAGTATAGAAAATGATATCTTGTGGGGTTTAAAATAAATAAAACATACTGAAATATGTATGGGTACAGTTATATATCTGGGATTTGCACTGAAATAATGTGGGGTAGAGGGAAGCAGGAAAGAGTATACATGAAATGAGCTTGGCCATAAGATTGTTGTTGAAATTGAATGGATACTCGGGGCTTCATTACACAATTCTCTTTACTCTTACATAGCTCTACACTCTCAACATAAATAAGAATAAAAACACAAAAAACACACAGATACATCTATGCACACACATATGTTTAAAATACACAAAAATATTAGCATATAAGTCACTGGGGGTAAATTTAGTTCCTGTTCCAAGGTTCTTCTACTGACTAGGAAGAGGATAGAAGTACTAACTCATAGGCTGGGCGTGGTGGCTCACGCCTGTAATCCCAACACTTTAGGACGCCGAGGTAAGCAGATCTCTTAAGGTCAGGAGTTCAAGACCAGCCTGGCCAACATGGTGAAACCCTGTCTCTACTAAAAAAGAATACAAAAATTAGCCGGGCATAGTGGTGCACACCTGTGGTCCCAGCTACTCAGGTGACTGAAGCAGGAGAATTGCTTGAACCCAAGAAGTGGAGGTTGCAGTGAACCAAGATTGCTCCACTGCACTCCAGCCTGGGCAGCAGAGGAAGACTCTCTCTGTCTCAACCACAACAAAAAGTACTAGCTCATGTTAGGCTTTGATAAGTGAAGGATGCATGTTGTAAGCTCTAAAATAATCCACTGTCATCTTTTAAAATAACTCTAAGACTGCACAGTTATGAAACTAATAGAGAAGGAGGAAATTAAATAATAAAAATAATAAATCCAAAACAAGATGTGAGAGGAGATAAGAAGAAATAGAATAGGCATGGAAAACAAATTGGTGGTGGGTTTCAACGTAAATAAATCATTAGTTACATTTAAAAGGACAATAAAAATTAAAATAATTGAAAATAAAGTAAAACCCAACTAATGCCTTTTATATAAGGATACAGAGAGGTAGAAAATAATGAAAAATATGTCATGCATGTACTAACCAAGAAAGCTGTATAACTTTTTTTTTTTTTTTTTTTTTTTTTGGAGATAGAGCCTCACTGTCTCCCAGGCTGGAGTGCAATGATGTGATCTTGGCTTACAGCAATCTCTCCCTTCTAGGCTCAAGCGATTCTCCCACCTCAGCATCCCAAGTAGCTGGGACTACAAGTGTGCCAACTTAGAATTATATTAGCCACACCCAGCTAATTTTTGTATTTTTTGTAGAGGCAGGGTCTCGCCATGTTGCCCAGGCTGGTCTTGAACTCCTGGGCTTCAGTGATCCACCCACCTCGACCTCCAACAAAGTGCCGAGATTACAGCCATGAGCCACCATGCCCAGCATAACTATTTTTAATGAAGTAGACTTTAAGAAGAAAAGTATTATTAGAGGTAAGAGACACATCACGGAAAAGAAGAATTTACTAGGAGCCAGGCGTGGTGGCTCATGTGAGGCACTTTGTGAGGCCAAGGCGGCGGATCACCTGAGGTTGGGAGTTCAAGACCAGCCTGACCAACATGGAGAAGCCGTGTCTCTACTAAAAATACAAAAATTAGCCAAGCATGGTGGCATATGCCTGTAATCCCAGCTACTCAGGAGGCTGAGGGAAGAGAATTGCTTGGACCCAGGAAGTGGAGGTTGAGGTGAGCTGAGATTGTGCCATTGCATTCCAGCCTGGGCAACAAGACCAAAACTCTGTCTCAAAAAAAAAAAAAAAAAAAGTAAGTTACTAGCTAGTTTCAGTAATTCTTAACATCCAGGAAACTGGATGTGAAAGCTTTTCAGAGAAGCTAAACCAATAGGTTATACATAGAGAGATTTATTTAGGAATTGGCTTACATAATTGTGGGGACTAGCAAGTTTAAAATCTGTAGGGCAAACCAGCAGGCTATAAATTCAGGTAAGAGTTGATCTCGAAGTCTGGAACCTAAAATCTGTAGAGCAGTCAGCAGGCCAGAAACTCAGGCAGGGTTTGTGTGTTACAGTCTTGAAGCAGAATTCCTGCTTCTCTGGGAAACCTCAGTTTTTGTTCTTAAGGCCTTCAACTGATTGGAGGTGGCCCACCCATATTATGGTGGGTGATCTGTTTTACTTAAAGTCAATTGACTGTCAGTGTTAATCACATCTATGAAATAACCTCCCAGCAAGATATTGACAAGTATTTGACCAAACAACGGGACACCATAGCTTAGCCAAGTTGACACATAAATTAACCATCAGGAGCAAGTAGAATATCCAAAAAACAACATACTAGGGGTATTATATCTTATATAGCTATTATAATTATATAAAACATATAATTATAGAATGAAGATATTAAGATAACCATTAGAACAAAAATATAAACTTTTCTTTCTTTTTTTTTTTTTTTTTTTTTTTGAGACCAAGTCTTGCTCTGTCACCCAGGCTGGAGTGCAGTGGTGCAATCTTGGCTTACTGCAACCTTTGCCTCCTGGGTTCAAGTGATTCTCCTGTCTCAGCCTCCCAAGTAGCTGGGATTACAGGCACCCGCTACCATGCCCAAGCATCCACCATGTGGTGGTATTTGGATGAGATGTGCATGCAGTGAAAGGTCATTGGAAGATTTGGGGAGACCCATGCATTCAGAGAATAGGAAAGCAAACCTAGGGAGTCATCCTTCATATGAGCAGAAATGTTTAGGGTCTTCTTGTTTGGAACAGCTGAGCACCTCCCATAGAAAAAAAGGACACATTATTACATCCTAACTTCGCATCAAGAAGTATATATGGTCATGATGGATTCTGGAAGAAGCATTATTCACTCTTGGGATGTTGCTCCAACCCAAATAGCAAAAACAAAGAAAAGTTGCATGTCTGTGGGTCCTAGAGCAGGAAGGCTCTGCAGCAGGTCCACACAGTGGTGGGAGTGCCCTGCTGGTTGAGCCCTAGAACCCAGCTGGGTCTACTGCAATGCAGGAATTTATGATGGGAGAAGAAACCTTGCATTTATGGCAAGATCCAATAGGAGATCCCAGTCCAGACATGTGGGGTTGTGTAACAAGGCCCTGTCATCTTAATGAAATTTGCCCCTTCTGGAAAGGTTTGTTCTGTCTTTGCTGCTCACACCTGAGAGTCGTGTGTGCACTTCTTTCTCATGTGCACGTGCAAGACAACTCCTGTTCTCAGACACCCAGAGAAGAAAAGGCTTGAAACTGAGGAGCTGATCCCTAGGATTCCATTGCACCTGCCTGGCCCAGACAGAGCTCCTGAAATGAAAGGAGTTGGGCTGGGCCAGAGTAGCACATCTCATTCTGTGGGCACAATCCTACTGGTTCAAAATGCTTTCTTTTTCTCAAGCCCAAGTTCTCAGGGTTAGCTCAGAGAACTGGTTCCTTTCCTGCCACACTCTGTGTTGAAAGGGAGGGAAACGACTGTCTCTAGTGCAGAAACCAAGCTCTCTGGAGACATTTCTTATCCCATGAACCTGTGCACTAGTCTCTGTAGGGCCCAGGTAATAAAGGGACAAGATGTTTGGATTTACAATGAATGTAATTGTAAAATTCATGGTTAAATAGAAATCCGACAGTTTCTCCTGCTGCTTTGGCTACCATGAGAAACCACCTGAGTGAACTGAGACCAAAGTCATGGTCACTGCTTAGAGCAAGCTTGTCCAGCCTGCAGCCTGCAGGCCACATGCAGCCTAGGATGGCTTTGAACGTGGCCCTACATAAATTTGTAAACTTTCTTAAAACTTTATGAGATTTTTTTGCAATTTTTTAAGCTCATCAGCTATTGTTAGTGTTAATGTATTTATGTGTGGCCCAAGACAATTTTTCTTCTTCCAATGTGGCCCAGAGAAGCCAAAATGTTGGACATCCTGGCTTAGAGAGGATGTGAGATATTGAGCCTAGTTATATTAGAGGTTCCTGTCCCACATCCCCATCTGTCTGTTTCACTGTGAGCCACTGCCTGCTGCTCCCTCAGCCATCATAGGTGCTACAGTAATAGCCTCGTCCCTGGCCTGGGCCCCACTAATGGTCAGAGTGGCTGTGTTCCACAAGTTGGAGCCAGAGAATCACTCAGGGGTCCTTGAGGGCCACTTGCTGTCTTTATAGATGACCGGCACAGGGGTCTGGCCTGACTTCTGCTGGTACCAATAAACATATCCACCTCCAACAGTATTTCCACAGCAGGTGATCCTGGCCATCTGTAATGGGGCCACTGACACTGAGGGTGGCTGAGACAGCTCATATGTGGCCATGAAACCTGCAGGAGATGAGGGAGAAAAGGCTTGAAGCTGAGGAGCTGATCCTCAGGATTCCTTTGCACCTGCCTGGCTGGGACAGAGCTTCTGGGATGAAAGGGAGCCTGACTGTGCCCCTCAGAGTGCCCATGAGCACAGGAGTACAGGAAGATTTCAACCTTACCAGCCCCTCACCCTGCAGCAAGGTCATGAGCATCCTTTCCACCACAGGCAGAGCCCTGCTGAGCTCACAATCAAGGCCAGCCTGGTCCCACAGCCCGGGGCTGGGCGGGTGGCTGGGACTCTGGCGGCAGCACCTGTGCAGTGAGCGAGGAGGCTGAGAAAGGTCCAGTCCATGACTGAGACATCCCTGATGCTGCTTCCTGTGGCCCAGGGCGGGTAGGTTTCTCCCAGGCCTCTCTTATCCCCTTGATGGAGAAAGCGGCCCGTGATGCAAGTCAGCAGAATCAGGGGCTGCTACTGGAGTAGCTTTGTAGTTTCCAGAGAAGGGCTCAGCCCCAAGGGACACAGAGAGGGGAGGGGAGGACCCTACAGACCCACCTCAGCCCACAGAATTCTCCTTCACTTGCTGGTCCCAAAGTCTGGGCCAACATCTTTACCTTAAACTATGTCTTGGCCTTGGTTCTCAGCTAGCCAGGCCAGGTGGAGTTCACAGATCATTCTGTCTGCATTTTGTGAGCCCATTCTATAGTTAACAGCAGAAGACTTTGATAGGTTCTGGGTCCTGCCCCAGATCAGGTGTGGATTCAGAACCTGCTGCTCAGGTCCCTGATTCCCTTGTCCATGGACTGCTGGTTCCAAGAGAGGAATTCCTCTTCTTTATTTGGCCTTATATGCCTCAATACCAGGCATAAGGGGCTCGGTTACCCATGAAATTATGAGCACGTCCTATTGGAGGAAAATGGGTAGGGCCCACCTAAGACATCCCTCTACTGTCACTGGGTTGGTAAGTGGTCCAGTGCATCTTACCAAGGCTCTGCATATAGTGCCGCAGACCTCAGACACCAAGTTTCATGGCTCCAGGTGTAGAAAAACATGAGGCAGTGGTGGCTCCTGCCCCAAAAACAAAGGCAGGAGCATATCCACCCAGCCAGTATTTATTGAGACCCACTCTGATCCGGCAATATTCCATCCTGGGAATTCAGCACGAGAAAGACTGTCTCTGACCCCAGGAGTTTCCTACATGGGGGTTGGGGCTGTGTAATAGAAACAGTTTGTAGTAGAAGCACCATCTTCTACCTGTGTATTTTCTCCTCTATTTATTTACAAAAAGATCCTTGTTTTCCCTGGTCACTCTTGGCTTGGACTGACCACATGGTCCCATGCTGGCCCCAGGGCTGTAAGGGTCAGGTGGTTGGAGATCTTCTCAGGGAACATTTTCTCTTGTGATGGAAATAAACAGACTGTTTTCGTGCAGCACCTTTGCTCTTGAATATGGGTATAATAGCTGGAGCTGCAGCAGCCATCCTGAGGTCTTAAGTCCACACAAATGAAAGAAAAGCCTACTGTGTCATGATGGTGGAGCAGAAAGTTGGGTAATTGCTGGGTTTCTCATTATTTGGTGAGTATGTGGGGAACAGCAGTGAACTCCACACTTACTTTTTGAGGATAAAATAGCAAATGGTTCATGACTGTTTCTCATGAGTGTCCAAGCAGAGGAGAAGCATTTTTGATTGATTGTAGGAGTATTTAGCACCAGAAAATCAATTAATAAACATGTTAGGAAAAGAGGCATGAAGTTTAGGTGCTCTGCAGATCATTAATAGAATGCATACACAGAAAATGACAGGCAGACTGCTGTGTAATCAGAGGTTGGGGCGCCTCCCTGAAGAGGAGTCTCTGGAGCTGCTCTCAGGAAGGAAGAAACAGTGAAAGGAAGTGTGAGGAAGAAGAGTCTGTCACTGACCTGCAGGGAGGGGTAGGTGTTTTCGAGGATCTGAAAGAGCAGTGACAAACATCAAGGGGGTCTGGGATCCAAACTCATTGCAATGCAGTGTGTGATACTTTTAGCTGAGGCACGAGTGCAGCGTATTAAGGTGTGGTTAGGGGAATTTCCAGGTGATGATGAATGACGTGATCTTGGCATCTGCTTAGCACATGGTATGGCCTCCAGGACGCTGCTGCTGGGGTGGGGGCAGGAGAGACACAAGTGGGGTCAGACCTGCCCCAGGCTGTTTCCTATTTTAGCAGGGTCTGAAGCTGCCCAGGAGGGGGCTTACCCACCCCTTTGTTCCTCCATTACTTGTGCAATAAGCAGCCTTGTGGGGACATACACTGCTCCATCCTGGGACCCCGTCGAGGGCCTCACATGGGTGACTGATCCCTAATGTCCCACAGACTCGCTGATCTGAGCTGATCACAGTGGGTGGGGAAAACACTGGACAGAGGAGGGAAGGGCCAGAGGGTGAGTAAAGTTCCCAAGGTCGCCTGGGGAGGAAGAGGGGAGAGCAAGACCAGGGAGGTCCTGGGCAGAAATAATGATCATTTCTAAGTGTGCAGGAGCAAGCAGACTGGATGGGAGTGTCGGGAACAATCCTGCACCACAATTGTGGGGGCTCAGAAGGATATAGCTCTTCCCTTTCAGTTCTGCCAGCTGCCTGTTGGGGGAGCTGCTGCACCCAGACATGAGTGAGCCAGGCACCTGGTGGGTAGCTTCCAGCTCCCTGCACCCTTCGGTGCTCATAAAAACTCCGAGGGTTGGCTGGGCGCGGTGGCTCAAGCCTGTAATCCCAGCACTTTGGGAGGCCGAGGCGGGCGGATCACGAGGTCAGGAGATCGAGACCATCCTGGCTAACACGGTGAAACCCCGTCTCTACTAAAAATACAAAAAATTAGCCGGGCGCGGTGGCGGGCGCCTGTAGTCCCAGCTACTCAGGAGGCTGAGGCAGGAGAATGGCGTGAACCCGGGAGGCAGAGCTTGCAGTGAGCCGAGATCGCGCCACTGCACTCCAACCTGGGCGACAGAGCGAGACTCTGTAACAACAACAACAACAATAACAACAACAACAACAACAACAACACAAAAAAACAAAAAACTCCGAGGGTAAAATACGCCAGGCAAGAGAGAACCAGAGCTGCCTTTTCATGTCTTGTTACTCTGGAAGAGCCCTTGAAATATTGTCTGGATCCTTTGCATTGACTGCTCATGGTCCTTTAGTGCCATCATAAAGTTGTAGATATAATAACACAATTATAACAGTCAATTTCTGAAAATCATAGTTTTGTATTGTGTGGAATTCATATAACCTAGAATTAATCACTTCAAAATGTACAACGCAGTGGCACTTAGCACCTTCACTTTGTTGGGCAGCCACCAGCTGTGTGTGTAGTTCTCCTACATTTTCATCACCCAAAAGAAAATTCTGCACCCAGTGAGCAGCCTCTCCTCTTTCATCACCTTCTCCAATTCTGGGCAACCACTCATCTTCTTTCTGCCTGCATGGATTTGTCTATTGTAGATAATTCATGTAGAAGACATGATACAGTATGGGACCTTTAGTATAGTATTTCAGATTTTCAGACCATAGGATCTCTGTCACCACAACCAAGCCTTGTATTGCAGCATGAAAACAGCCACATGTCACTCATAAAGACATGAGCAAGACTGTGTTCCAATGCAGGATGCAAGACAGATGTGTCCATCAACCACAGTTTGCCCACCATGTCCTCAATCAGCAGCCACTATGAGGAACTGTGTTCCTCATTAGTAACATATCTGAGTCCAGGACCAGGGGTGGAAGTAGTGGCTTACATGGGGAATTTATGATTCTGTTTTCTAACTCTGAGTCTTATAGTTTAGAAGTCCAGGTTCCCAAAGGATGACACCCAGTGATGCAGCAAGAGCCCCATGGAATTTGAATGAATGACGGTACCCGGTCACTCTGGGATTCTTCCACCTTCACTGCTGTCCTGTATGGGGGATTGGCCGTGTCTCAGGTGACACTTGCAGCTGTGCTCCAGGATTGAGAAACAACAAGCAGACCATGTGATCAGTGGGATCTCCCGTCAGCAGGGAGAAAAACCCTCAGGAACCTCAGGATGAAGTGTCCACAGGTCTCAAAGAAATGGGGCCTAAATTTAGGCATGGGCAGGATCTGAGGGGAGCCCCTGTGTAAGGGAAGAGCAGGATGGAGGAGCCTGTGATGTAGACCCTTGAGGACACCTGGAGACAGGGCTCAGATCTTTACTCCACTCCTGTGATCCTTGAGGAAACTCACGATGTCAGGGTTCCATGTCCATTTCATAGCTGAGAATGGGGGTGAATAAGGGCTTCAGTATCATAGAGAAAGAGAAAGAAAGAGAGAGGAAGAGAGAAGGAGAAAAGAGAGTAAAAGAGAAAATGAGAGAGAGGTCAATGTTAAAACTGAATCCTGACCTCTTCAGCCTAATTCTAAGCAACTTTCCTAAATGCAGGGGGAGCGTGTGATCCAGGCTGGGGACAGCAGATTGTGCATCTCAATTCTCCCTGTGGCTGTGTCATTGGAAGTCTTGTTGTCATCCCCCCTGAAACTCATCCTCAACCTGTCCCCTGGTCAGGGGAATTACATTCCTAGACACTGTCAGAGAATCAATCAGCACTGCATGAGGAGTTTTGTCACCACATTAAAGTCCCAGCATGGGCACCAGCCTGGGTTCTGCGGGTACCAAGACAGAGCAGAGCTTCCCTACTTGGTCCTGAGCAGCTGAGAGGGGCTGTCTGCACCATGGGCACTGAGCTCCCATGGGAGGACAGAGAACCCGCCGAGGAGAGAGAGATGGTCAGAGACTGAGGGACTTATTTCCAGAGTAATCTGCCTAAAGTGTCTCCCAGGATCAGGGTCAGAGCCAGGCCTAGCTTAGACAGTCAATTAACACAGATTGTGTATGTTATGTATATTATATACAGTATTTTTTATAATGAAGTAAGCCAGAGAACAGAAAATGTTATTTTAAAAATCATAAGGAAGAGAAAATATATTTACTAGTCATTAAATGGAACTGAATCGTCATAAAGGATTTTATCTTTTTTATATTCGGGTTGAGTAGCTGAAGAGGAAGAGCAAGAAGAGGGGTTGATCTTGCTGTCTCAGGGGTGACAGGGGCAGAAGAAAATCAATGGACCCATGCAGTTCAAACCAATGTTATTCAAGGGTCAACTGTATATAATTTTCTATATATTTTGATATTTTGACATCTTAAAAAACATTTCTGTCTGGGAAAAGACCACCCCTCCTGGGTCTCCCCAGTTCTCTATTCCTTGAAAGAGCAATGGGCTCAGCCAGAAGCCTGCCTTTCATATGGAAACTAACGTGTTCAGAGCCTCACCACCCCTGTCTGGTTTGTGCATCCCAGGATACAATATTCCTCTGCCTTTATCGTCCCAGGGCCAGGTACCAAGCAGCTAGAGACCACCTTAGTAGCCCAAAGCCTGCTGACATTATTCAGGCTGGCCAATCATAAATTTTTTAGCTTGCCCTGCTTTTCCTGAGGAAATTCTGATAAAAGTCATGGTCTAAGGGATCCCCTGCCCTCCTGTCTTCTGTCTTCTAATGAACCTGATGCCTTTCCCTGTGGCCCTGTGTAGCACATTGGGCCTGCTGTCTCTAGAGCTCTGGGTCTATGGTCTCTAGGGCTGTTTTCTGAACCTCTCTTCCATTTCTTCTTGTGGCCACAGCTGACTGACCAGCTGACTAACTAGCTCATAAAAGAATACAAAGAACGGCCTGAGATTAGAACTGGAATCTCTGAGGCTTTTTCCTGATCTCACCCCTCAGTCATATGGGGCTCTTCCCTGTTGCTTTTGTTACCAAGAGACAGAATTATAACCCCCAATGTCACTGCTGTGTCAGCACAGGAGATGGTGACCACCTCTCCAGTGGTTTCAGATGCTGAGAAGATGTAACAGGACTGATAAGGCCCCAAACTCTGAGGGAAAGGATAAATGTGCAGAGGCATGAGTCCTGGGTCATCACTCCAGGGAGCCTGAGGAGGGAGAGAAAGTCTCCTGGGCTTCACAGATGTAGCTGAGGTGCATCTCACCTGTGCTGGGAGCAGGAGGTCAGGAGCTGAGCTACTTTGCTTGTGGTCCTCAGAGGGCAGCAATGTTAGCATCACCTGGGGGCAGTTAGACACGCAGATCCTTTAACTGTCCTGATGTCATCAAAGGGAACTTGATTCCAGCACTAGACCTGTAATTATGTGGACAAAATGTTTCAAGTATGGACATTTTTACAAGCCACATGGGTGATGTGTTAGGAAGGGGATGGTATCCCAGTAGGATGGCCAGGTAGAAATACATGGTTCCTAACATCTTTCTTGTTCTCTGACTGACACTTGCAGTGACTCCACTCCTCACTCAATGCCTGCCAAAATCCTAATTGTCCTTTCGGTTCTGTACACATATCTTGTCTAGGAAGTGTTCTCTGAACATACAGAAACGTAATATTACAATCTTTTACATTTATCAGAAAGTATCCTCACAGTTGAGTATGGAATATCCAGATTCTTTGCATGAAATACTACCCCATGCCATCTCCACTTCTCATGATGGCCTAAAAACAGCAAGAAAGAAAGTCTGCTTGCATGAAAACATTTTAAGTGATTTTGAGATGACAATATGGTTCGTCCTTTCTTCTATTAATACGATGCCTTCTATTAATTAATTCAATTACAGATGTTAAACCATCATTGCATTCCTCGGATAAACACCACTTGGTTATTGTATGTACTTCTTTTTATATCTTGTTAGATTACATTTTCTGGTATTTTGTTAAGGACTTTAGTATCTATATCCAGTAAGGTCATTGCTCTGTATTTATCTTTTCTTGTAATGGCTCTGTCTGGTTTTGGTATCAGGGTAATATTGGCCTCAGAGAAAGAGTTGGCAAGTGATTTTATCTCTTTTATATTTTGGAAAAGTTTAATGATAAATTATATTAATTCTTCTTTAAACATTTGGTAATAGTCACCAGTGAGGCCCTCTGTGTCTGGGCCTTTCCTTATGGGAAGGCTTTTCTTATTATTATTAACTTAATCTCTTTCTATAGTTTTAATCGGGTTTTCTATTTCTTCTTGAGTCACTTCTAATAGAATTTGTATTTCTAGTGATTTGTCCATTCATCTCAATTTTTTTCATGCAGTTTTCATGGTCTTCCCTCAATTTTTTGGATTTCTCTAATGACATTGTTTTGGGAACATACTTTGTGTGATTTCTATCTTTTTAAAAATTATCAATCTGTTTTATACGGTTTTTCTGGAGAATGTTCCATGTGCATGCAAGAAGAATGTGCATTCTGCTTTTGTTGCTTGAAGAGTTCTACAGGCATCGGTTAAGTCTAGTTGTTCTATAGTGCTGTTCAAGCCCTTTTATTTCTACATTATGCACTATTAAAATATTTATCCATGTAGTCACCATTTCTGATGCTTTTCATTCTTTGTGCAGATTCACACTTCTATCTGGTATAATTTTTGTTCTGTATGAGGGATGTCTTTCATCATTTCTTTTAGTGACGGCTTGTGATTTATCAATTCTGTAAGTTTTATTTATTTGAAAAAGGTTTTATTTGGCCTTCATTTTTGAGAGATATTTCACCGGGTAAAGACTGCAGGGTTGACAGTTGTTCCTTTTAATATTATAAAGATGTAGCTACCTGTCTTCTTGCATGCATTGCTTCTAATGAGAACTCTGCTCTTAGTATTATATCTAACATGTCTTTTCTTTCTGGCTGCTTTTAAGAGTGTCTCTTCATCACTGTGCTTTAGCAATTTGATTATGATATGTGTTGGTATTGTTATCTTAACGTATTTATATTTTAAAATATATTTTGTCAGGGGCTGGTTGAGCTTCGTGAAAATGGATGGCTTATGATGTTCACAAAATTTGGATCATTTTTAGTCATTATTTTGTTTTGTAGTTTTTCTATATACTCCCCTACCCCCACCAACTTCTTTTTTTCAGTAACACAAATTACGTTATTTTAGGTTGCATTGGCATGCAGTTGTCCCATAACTCAACGATGCTCTTTTCTTGTCATTTTCAGTAGTTTTGCATATTTCATTTTGAATAGTTCTCATTACTATATCATCAGATTCACTAATCTCTTCTTTTTCAGCATGTAATATACCAGCAATCTCATTCAAAGTACTTTGATTTCATATATTTCTGTGGTCATTTCTAGGACTTAAATGTAGGTGTTTTTTAAATGTCTTTCATGTCTCCATTTAACTTGTTCCATCAATACTCTACCCTCCAGGACAAATGGATTACAGTTACAACAACTGCTTTTTGTTCTGGTCTAGAAAGTGTATTACCTGTGCAATTTCAGGGCCATGATGCGCTGACCAACTTTTTTACTTCTGACTCACGTTGTCCTGCTATTGTAATAAGATGCCAGACATCGTGAAGTTTTGCTTTTTAGGTGCATGATATTTTTATATTTCTCCACATATTTTTGTCTTCTTTGATTCAGAAGGGTTTCTTGAAGAGAGTATGTTCCTTTCTGAACTTGCTCTTACGGTGTCCTAGGAGGGATAGGAGCAGATTTTAGTCTATAGTTAGTTCCCCCTATACTAAGGCAGAGCTTTTCTTATTCATTTTTTTTTCTCTTTTCTTTTCTTTTTTTTGAAACTGTGTGGCGAGATCATGGCTCAATACAGCCTTGAACTCCTGGGCTCAAGAAGCAGTCCTCATGCTTAAAACCTCCTGATTAGCTAGGACTACAGGTGCATGTCCCCATGCTTAGCTATATTTTTTAAGTTTTCTGTAGAGATGGGGTTTCACAATGTTGCCCAGGCTGGTCTCGAACTCCTGGCCTCAAGTGATCCTCCTGCCTCAGCCTCCCAAATTGCTGGGATTACAAGTGTAAGCCACTTTGCTCAGCCAGGGCAGAGAAATTCTGATTAGTTAACCTGATGCCTCTGATTAGACACATTTCCACACTGGTTGTAGGAACAAACTCTATTCTGATGGTGTGTGTGTGTGTGTGTGAGTGTGTGTGTGCGCACACACGCGCATGCACATGCCCTGCAATTGTTCCCTCAAATGTCTTTGGGTGGTTCTTTTCTTGGCCTTAAGTATTTTCCTTCCACTCATGGGATCATCAGTGCTCAGGAATATTTGCAGATTCCAGAGTCCTGTCTCTGTGCTGCTCTCTCTTCTTCCGTACTCTTCCTTGTAGACTGTTTTCTATTTTGTGTTCCCTGGAATCAGACTCTGAGAGGGAAAATTGCATACAGTAGTGTTTGGAGATATTCGCTCTGGAAGGAAGTATGGGGGGGCACAACTGGGCAGCCTGAAATCTGACTCCAGTTGAGGACTCATCTGGGAGGCCCTGCAAGGTCATCCTAACCTGAGACAGGGCCTTGGTATTTCAGTCTCATGCAGTTATTAGGCCTGAGCCACACTGTGAAAGGGGCATGCCCTTGGTGGAGGCAGTTCTCTGTAGCCAGCAGCAATTTGAGGGAGAAAAGAGCTGTGAGGGCCCTGGGATTCCCAGCTGCCACGGTTAGTGAGAGCTGTGAGGGCCCTGGGATTCCCAGCTGCCACGGTTAGTGAGAGCTGTGAGGACCCTGGGATTCCCAGCTGCCACGGTTAGTGAGAGCTGTGAGGCCCCTGGGATTCCCAGCTGCCACGGTTAGTGAGTCTGCCCTGAGGAGCAGATCACCAGTGCCCATGACACTGGTCTTCTCTGTTTAAAATATCAGGATGCCATGGTGTAGCTGGAGCTTCACCTGAGTATTTCAGGGGAATAATCCAGGACATCTGGGCATGAGTAGAGCACTGGGCTGGGCTCCGTCACCACACATGTGGAAATCCAGGCACCAGAACCACTTGACAGATATCTCCCTCTGACTGTATTTTCATTCAAGTCATTTTTCTCCAAGTCACACTCCAGCCAAGACAACATCAAGACAACCTTGTTCTCTCCTCCTCCAAATCTTCTCCTGACCCAAATTGTCAAAACCATGACTTAAAGAGTGACATCACCACTGACCTTACAAAAGGTACAATGGTTATAGGGAATAATGCGAACAATAAATGCCAAAATTATGGATGACTTAAATGAAGTGGATAAGTATCTGGAAATACATAAATTATCAAAATCGATTCATAAAGGAGAAAATCTGAATAGATCTATGACACATAAATATATTGAATTAGCAATTTAAAATCTTCCTGCTAAGAAAAGCCCACCTAGTACAAATGACTTCACTGGTAAATTCTATCAAGTTTTTATGGAAGAAATGACACCAATCATACACAATCTCCTTCAGAATATAGAGGAGAAGCAAACATTTCCCTACTACCTATTTGAGGCCTGAATTACTCTGATACCAGAGCCCGACAAAGGCATGACAAAAATATCCTATAGACCTATGTCCTGCATGAACATGGACACCAATTCCTCGGTAATGTTTCAAACAACATTCTCATGCAGGAGCTGTCCTTATGCATGCAAGGGCATTGCGACTTCCATTCCCTCATTTGCCTTTTACTTACATCTTGAGAATCTCCCTTCTTCACCTTGATTTAATATTTCTGTGGAATGTTTTCCCTCAGCTCTGGTACCAGAACCAAGGTTTTGGAAGCCAGAGAGAGGAAAGGGTGATGGGAGAGGTGATGCATATTTCTATAACTGTGTGTTAAGAGTTCACTGTGGGCTGGGCATGGTGGCTCACACCTGTAATCCCAGCACTTTGAGAGGCTAAGGCCAGCGGATCACTTGAGGTCAGAAGGTCGAGACCAGCCTGGCCAACACGGTGAAACCCTGTCTCTACTAAAACTACAAAAATTCATCAGACATGGTGGCAGGCAATCCCAGCTACTCCAGAGGCTGAGGCAGGAGAATCACTTGAACCTGGAAGGTGGAGGTTGCAGTGAGCCAAGATGGTGCCACTGTACTCTAGCCTGGGTGACACAGTAAGACTTCAAAAAAAAAAAATTTACTGTGAATCCTTCTTTGTACTGCTTTGTGAAACAGACTTGGGAGTGGGGGGAATTGTCCTTAATTTGTACTTGGATTTTTGTGGTTTTATAATTTGAAGTGGTTTTTTTTCTAGGCAGCATGTATAGTTGAGTCTTGTTCATTTCAACATGACAATCTCTGCCTTTTAATTGTGATATTTAGACTATTTACAATTAATGTGATTAGTAACATAATTTGGTTGAAATATGCCAACTTGCCCTTCATTTTCTATTTGTGCCATATGTTCATTGCTTCTCCTTCCCTTTTTCTGTTTCCTTTTTTTGACTGATTTTTAAAAATTATTTCTTTTTATCTCCTTGCTGGTTTAAGTGATGTTTAATTTTAAGTGTTAGATTGACTAGGTATAGTGCCTAGTTGATTTTGTCAAATACGAGTATAGAAGTTGGCACGAAGATAATTTTCAGATGTGATTAACATTTATATCTGTAGACTTTATATAAGCACACTGCTCTCCACAATGCATGTGGGCATCATTAATGAGCTGAAGGTTTTCAGAGCAAATACTGAGGATTCCTGAAGTCCCACCTTGCAGAATTCAGACTCAAAACTGCGAGATCAACTCTTACCTAAATGTCCAGCCTTCAGCCTGCCCAGTAGATTTCATCCTAGTCAGCCACAATTGTATGAACCAATTTCTTCTCCATATATATGTACCTAGATATGTATATACACACATATACATTATATGTACACATGCATATACACATATATACATTATACATATATACACACATACATATCCTATTGATTTTGTTTCTGTGGAGAACTCTAATATGGCTTACTAGCCATAATTATTTCTGTTAAAAGGGTTTATCTTTGGGAGGCCGAGGCGGGCAGATCACGAGGTCAGAAGATCGAGACCATCCTGGCTAACACAGTGAAACCCTGTCTCTACTAAAAATACAAAAAAGTTAGCCGGGCGTAGTGGTGGGTGCCTGTAGTCCCAGCTACTTGGGAGGCTGAGGCAGGAGAATGGCGTGAACCCAAGAGGCGGAGCTTGCAGTGAGCCAAGATCGTGCCACTGCACTCCAGCCTGGGCGACTGAGCCAGACTCCAAAAAAAAAAAAAAAAAAAAAAGTTGATCTTAATGATTGCTTGGGTTTACAGTACGTATATAACTTATCAAGGTTTACCTTCAAGTGTTATTATATATTCACATATAGTATAAGACCATTATAACATGTTGTTCATCCCTTCAGCTTTTGTGCTTTGTCACATAATTTACTTTCATTTTCATTACAAATCACAATGTATTTACGTTAGCTTTTCTTTGAAGTGTTAATTATCTTTATTAGACATTAACACAATTCAGAGGTTTCTATGTTTATCCTTGTGGTTACTATATCTGATGTTTTCATTTTTCGGTATAAATTCACATTTCATTGTGGTATCATTTTCCTTCTGTCTAGGGATGTCCTTGACCATTTCTAATTGTAAGAGTCTGATAGCAACCAATTCTTTAATTTGGCATATGTCTGGAAAGGGTTTATTTTGTCTCCTTTTTTGAAAGTTTTTGTTTGTTTGTTTTTATTAAAAAAATTCAAGGTTGGCAGGCCCAGTGGTTCACACCTGGAGTCCCAGCACTTTGGGAAGCTGATGCGGGCAGATTGCTTAAGTGCACAAGTTTGAGATCAGCCCGGGCAACACGGTAAAACCTCATCTCTACAAAAAATACAAAATTACCTGGGCATAGTGTTGCACGCCTGTGGTCCCAGCTACTTGGGAGGCTGAAGTGGGAGGATCATGTAAGCCCTGGATGTTGTGAACTGAGATTGTGCCACTGCACTCCAGCCTGGGTGACAGAGTAAGACCCTGTCTCAAAAAAAAAAAATAAAGAAAAAAAGAAAAGAAAAGAAAAGAAAAAGAAAGAAAGAAAATGAAAAGAAAAGAAAAAGAATTCAAGGTTGACAGGATTCTTCTTTTAGTGTTTTCAAGACATTGCTCCGCCGTCTTCTTTCTTGCATTGCTTTTAATGAGAACTGCTCTTAGCATTATTATTTAGGTGACTCTTCATCACTGGATTTTATTAATTTGATTATGATTTATGTTGGAGTTGTTTCCTTCATGTCTCCTATACTTGAATTTTGTTGAGCTTCTTGGATATTTCAGTTTATGGTTTTCACCAAAGGTGAAAAATATTTGGCCATTATTTATGCAAATACTTTTTTCTATTTCTCCTCCACCCATTTCTATTTCAAACACTAATTACACATACTTTAGGCTGTTTGAAGTTGTCCTACAACTCACTGATACTCTGTTCCTTTCTATCATTAATTTCCATAATTATTTTTCCCATATGTGTTTCATCTTGGACAATTTCTACTGCTGTATTATACAATTTGCTAATCTTTTTTTTTGCAGCTAATCTTTTTTTTTGCAGCTAATCTTTTTTCTGTTGTCAAACTCACCCAGTGTATTTTCTAAATTTCAGACATTGTAGTTTTCATCTTTACAAGTTCAATAATTCCTCTTTTTCGGTTTTCCATGTTTTCACTTTACATGTTCAATTATTCCTCTACTTCTTCTTCAAACAAGAATAAAATTATAATAATTGTGTGTGTATTGACTCCTGATTCACCCTTTTCATAGCCTACCTGGAGACCTGGAGGGAAGGGCAGCCTCAAGGTCTCATATCTGGGTGAACAGGGCAAGACCTGCTCATGAATTTGTCCACAGTTTTTTCCTGGAGCTGAAGAAAGAGTGTGACAGATGGAGAAAAGGTTTTTGTCTCACTTCCCCTTCTGCCTGTGTCACCGCGGAATGAGTACGACTGCTGTCCCATGACTGACAGTAATAGTCAGCCTTGTCTTCAACCTGAATCCCAGTGATGGTCAGGGTGGCCATGTTCCCTGAGCTGGAGCCAGAGAATTTCTTAGGAATCCCTGAAGACTGGACACTGTTAAGTTAGATGACCAGCCCAGGGGCCTGGCTTGGCTTCTGCTTGTACCAGTTTACAACGGAGTCTTCTATGCTGTCTCCCTGGCAGGTGATCCTGGCTGTCTATCCCAAGGCCACAGACACTGCAGGCTCCTGACTCAGCTCAGAGGAAACCACGGAGCCTGCAAGAGAAGAGAGAAGAGGTGAGTCTGAAGATAAGGGTCTCATTTCCAGAGCCCCACACCCTGCATTACTCCCTGTGCTGAGCTGAATGTCAGGGCCAGGCTGATTCTTGGTCCTGTGGGGGCTGAGCCCTAGGAGGCAGCACCTGTGCAGAGAGTGAGGAGGGTGAGCAGGGGAGGGGTCCAGGCCATGGTGGAGATGCCCCAGAGCTCTGCCTCTGAGTCCACAGCTGGGAAGGGGCCTCCAGGCCTCTCTTAACATAGGAAGGGGATGCTCTTCATGCAAATCTACTTCCTTCCCTCCTGTGGCCTTGGTGAATGGCTCCCTAGTGAGCAGACAAGGGCTGGGCTTATAGAAGGGTATAAAAATGGGCCCTGTCCCCAGTTCTGTACAGATTCCTCACACTTTCTGGATGAGTGAGAAAGTGCTGCCCCCAACACATGCATACACTCCTCAGTTCCTGTTCTGGGGTGTTCACTGAGCTCGGCCAAGCACCTCAGCCATCCTCTCTATTGATGTGTCTGAGTTCTTATCTGAGCCCTGAGGCTGAGACCTTCATGTTAGCAATTTTCCAAGTTTAGAATAAAGGCCAGGTGGGTGCGATGAGTGGAGAGTGAATTTTACCAAATAGAAGAGGCCTCACAGGAAGCACCAGTCATGCCCTTTGCCTTTTACACTTGGGTGCTACCAGGGGACTTGAAGTTATTAGGGTCCCCAAACCAAAGTCCACAGCATCCTACTGTGCCCACACGGGGAATGTCATCTTCCATGTATGACTAGTTCACACAGAATGCCTGCTTATGAGTACTTAATATATGCCTGATGCTTTGGAGGGTGTATTAGACATGTCACCTCAACCAGGCATTCATTATAATTCTACAGTAACCCTATACATCAGGAAAGCACTGATGTCTACTGACAAGAGACCCAACATCAGGAGGTTACACGGTTTTCTCAAAGTTCTCAGATGGTAGTGAGTGGAATCCAAGACTCCATCCAGGAGACACACCTCAGAGCCTAACCATTCAGCCCCCTCCTTTCTCTACCTCCCACCCAGTGCTCCTTCTCCTCCTGCTTATCCAGTGCCCTAGGTCCCTCTTTTCACAACCCTCTACTCTTTAGTCAGGTGTACTGCCCTTCCTGAGTTCTGGGGACAGAGGTGAGGACATCCTAATGCTCCCTCTGGCAGATGAAAAAGGAGCATGTGTCTGCAGTGACACTGGGGACATCCAGATGCCTGGTCATGCTCCTTGTGCCAGGCTAATCTCTAGACAAGTTAGGATCAGGATTCCATTTTTGACGTGGTCAAGGCCACTAAGCCTGAACAACTGTCACACTAGATACTGAACCACTTTAACGTTAATACACATGATTGGCAAGAAAGTATTTCTCACCTGATATCCTATACATATATATTGGTTTTTAGACCTAGTTCTGCTGAGGATGTGATGAAACTAATTCCTTTGTAAGTGCCGCTGCATTGTAATTAGCAACGTCATGTGAAGCCCTGTAGGTGCCATGTGCACGGACCGAAACCTCCATGTGCTGACTCCTTGGGATTTAGTCTAAAGAGGTAACTGACCTAAGATTAGGCCACAGGCCACAAATACGCCCGCTCCTGTCCTTGGTGAGTGTGTGGCACACAGCTTCTCCATGCCTTCCCACCTGATGCGCATCCACTCCTCATCTCACTGGGCTCCTCCAGGTGTCCTGCTGGCCACTCGTGCAGGTCACTTGTAACACCTTTGCTTGTGGGTCCTGACATGCTAAGACGACCCTTGGAGAATGTACCTTCATAAAAGTGATCAGTGCTTGTGGGATAGGCAAAAACAGCAATTTATGAAAAATAGCAATACACTAAGCTTCAATAAAATATTCTTCATCATGAGCCCTTTTTGTTCTAGATCTATGTATAAAAAATTGCTTTCTTACTTGTTATTGGGCTTATCACAAGAATCTTCCCACTGAAAGGGATCCTTGGAGCACAATTTACAGGGACCATTGCCATTCATTCCACCGGAAAGAGACCAATAGAAAACATGCCTTTGATGGCCGAGGTTCACCTTTAAAATTGAAGTTATATTTAATGTCTTTGAGAAGGGAAGAAGTGTGAAACACACTGTAAAAATTCCCTTGTTTCTTAGTGCCCTCAATATTCCTGCTTTGGCTGGAAAGTAGAGCTGCCATTCCTCCCTCAGGAGGCCCTTTGGGTCATGGAACTCTCCATTCTTCCCAGGTAGCTGTCAGTATGTACTGCAGGGGCTGTGACCCAAATGGACCTTTATCCATCTGGACTTGCTGTGTCCAATATGGCGGCCATGAGTCCCAGGGAGCTACTGAGCCCTGGAAACATGGGTAGTCTGAGGTAAGATGTGCTGTAGGAGTAAAACACACCAGATTTCAAAGAATTAGTACAAAAATAAAATAAATATCTCAATATTTTAATACTGAATGCATGCTGAAATAATATTTTGGATAAATCATTTAAACACAATATATTATGAACATAAATTCCACCTGTTTCTTTTACCTTTTAAATGTGGCCACTAAAAAATTGTATATTATATATATATATTCTTAAAATTACATTTCTAATAGACCAGCACTAGAGCACTGCTGGTGCACTCAAAGTCACAATATGATACTTTTAAAAAGTAAAGGTTGGGCACAGTGGCTCATGCCTATAATTGCAGAACTTTGGGAGGCTCAGGCAGGAAGATTGGTTGAGCCCAGGAGTTTGAGAACAGCCTACGCAACATAGTGAGACCCCATCTGTACAAAAAAACTTTAAAATTATCTGGGCATGGTAGTATTCACCTGTAGTCCCAGCTACTCAGGAGGCTGAGATGAGAGGATCTCTTCAGCCCAGAAGGTTGAGACTTTAGTGACCTGTGATGGTGCCACTGCACTCCAGCCTGGGTGACAGAGTAAGACTCTGTCTCAAAAACAAAACAAAATAAATACAAAGTAGAAAGAACTTTCTGGAGCCTTAAAGACACACCAATGCCTTACCACATTGATGCAATGACAGGCGACAGGATGGTGCCTAAGAACAGGTTTTCTGGGGCCAGAAGACCTGAGATTCTACTCCTGGGTCAGCCACTTTCTAGTTCTGACATCAGGCATGTTATTCTTCTTTTCTCTGCATTAGTTTTCCCATTTCTCAAAATCTATGTATCATAGATTTCCCAACTGTAAAACGGAGGGATAATGAACAACTCATAGAGTTGTTGAGATGAAGGGAATTAATAAATATGAAGTACTTGGAAGACTGCTTGATATGTATTAAACACATATGAATCTTTACTCCTCCTGCTAGTATTACTACCCTAATCTTCATCCTTATTCTTAGTGCAGAACAAAGGCACTAGAGATAGAAGAAGCAGGTAAGTTAGGAAAACAGAAAAGATTTGAGTTTGAAACATTTGACAGTAGGAACACTTCCTTGCAACACCAACTTGGACACGTACACATACATACACACATGTACACAAATATACACACAGGCACAGATATTCACACACAGTCGGCACATGGCACTGATTTGTGTACAGGTCAAAAGGCAGCACATCCTCCTGGCTGCTTTCCTGTTCAATGGGCCTTAAGCTGCAGGGACCTGAGCCAGTTCTTATTGATATCACCATCATGTGTCCCAGCAAAAATACAGCAAAGCCACTTTGTCGTGTCCAGACTCTGTGATACATGTTATCTCCCTGGAGCTGGCCTAGCTTGTGAACTCCTAGATCTGGGATGAGGCACCCAGATCTGCAGAAACTATTAGCATGATCTGCTTAAGGCTGATTAGCATTTTGGGTTCTGTGACCATCCACAGTCGGCAGTGTGGAGGCCTAGATTGGCAGGTATAGATGAACCGTCATGAGGACCGTACTGGTACCACTGAGGGAGAGAGACGCTGGGGGTGGAAAGAGCCAGGACACCTCATATTGTTTCCTCCAGGCCAGTCCACTGAGGCACAAGGCAGAGTTGATAATGTTTTTAGGATGCAAAGTCCACAGCAGCGCTGAGCTGGGCTTAGGACAACCAGACCTGCATTTGGAAGAGAGAAGCTGACAAGCTTAATGTCCCAGGGAGACTGTCAGGGAGGCAGCTGCACTGAGCCCCATGCACTGAAGGAAGGGTATTCTGGTCTCACTTACAGCCTGGCTGGGAGCCCATGGAAGAAACTCTTATCCACATGTCAGAGATTTGCTCACTCTGGTGATGGTCAGAGAGCATGGATGGATGCTGGGCATTCAGAGAATATTGACAGCTGGTGGCTAATATAACTCATAATCCACCCTGGTTTGATTTCTCTGAAACCAGCCTAGGCATCTACTCAGGATGATGAGGAGGGTAAGGAAGCTTCTACTTAAAAAGCAGAGGATAAAATCTCCTACGTCAGCATGAAAAGAACAAGAACAGCCTGAAAAGCTACCTTTTAAGGTGCGCAAGAGATCAGGCACTTTGCAGAGGGCCCGGAGTCCTTCTGGGCTGTCAGGTAATGCCCCACCTGAGAGCTTGGTGGTGCACATCCCACCTGCAGAGCCCCAGTGGGCAGCTTAAGCCATGTCTGAGGCATTGTTGGGAATTCGTTTTTTGTTTTGAGATGAAGTCTCACTCTATCGCTCAGGCTAGAGTGCAGTGGAACGATCTTGGCTCACTGCAACCTCTACCTCCCAGGTTCAAGCGATTCTCCTGCCTCAGCCTCCCGAGTAGCTGGGACTACAGGCACGCACCACCACGCCCAGCTAATTTTTGTATTTTTACTAGAGACAGGGTTTCACCAGTTGGCCAGGCTGATCTTGAACTCTTGACCTCATGTGATCCGCCCACCTTGGCCTCCCAAAGTGCTGGGATTTGGGATCCTCCCAAAGAGCCACCGTGCCTGGCCCATTGTTGGGAATTTGAATTTTGTGCCCCCTGGAATTCATATGGTGAAGTGCTATCCATCAGGACCTCAGAATGGGAACTTACATAGGAAAAGGGTGGTTGCAGATGTGATTAGTTAACATCGGGTCATACTGGAATAGAGTGAGCCCCAAATCCAATAGGACTGGTCTTTTTATAAAAAGAAAAAACTTGGACACCGACATGAACAGAGAGAAAACGTCATATGAACATGGAGGCAGAGATTGGGGTGATTCACCTATAAGCCAGGGAACAGCTAATACTGCTACACCACCAAAAGCCAGGGGAGAGGCATGAAACAGACCCTCCCTCAGCCTCAGAAGGAGCCAACCCTGCCAACACCTTGATCTCAGATTCTACCATCGCCATAAGATTAGTGAGACAATAAATTTCTGTTCTTTGAGTCATGTAGTCTGTGTTACTTTTTATGGCACCCCAGGCAAAATAATACAGACAGCTCTAGGAACTCTGGGCTCAGGGAACCTCCTGCAGGGCTGGGCTTCTTGAAGATGCTTTGGTCTCTAACGCCACAATCCCCTGGGGAGGGGCCTTCCTCTCCTGTGTTTTCTTCTCCCCTACAGTGTCTGAATTTCCTTTCCAGGAAACTGCCCCAACACCACAGGCAGAAAACTGTCTTCTGTGACGCCTCCCACCCATGTCTTCCCCTCTGGGCTTTGGTGGGGTCTCTAATCAGAATCATAGGCCACTCTCCAGCTCTGGGCTGTCAGGTGAGGGGTGAGACCCTGGGCAGGGAGGGATGGGCCAGGACATGGGGGCCAGAAAACCTTAGACACCCTTCAGATGAGCTCAGCCACCTCTTCCCAATCCCCTGACTACACCTCCTCCTCATGGATGAAGTTGCAACCCTTGGTTCTACAAACTCCTCCGCTTCCCTCTCTGGTTGACTTCATCACCTTGAAACAGTTTCCGAGATGCTGAGAGAATTGGCAGGAGAACACCCAGGGATACTCTCCTTATCTCCTATGCCTCAATTTTAAATTATTTAAGTCTCTCTTGTCCCAAACAGAGGGTTTGCGCTGCCTTTCCTCCATCCCAGGTCCAATTTTCATGTGCGACGACAGTAATAATTGCTGCCAACTAGGAGTACCTGGGTGTGTCAGGCTCTATGTCAAACACTTTATAAATATGATTAAATTACATCCCTGCATTCTTGTTAGGAAAAGACTTGCTTCCTCTCTCCCATTGGTCTCTGTACGCACTGGCTCCCCTTCATCTTCTGCCATGAGTGGAAGCAACCTGAGGCCCTCAACAGATGCAGATGCCCACTCTTGAACTTCCGGCCATCAGAAGCTTCAGCCAAAGAAATCTTTCTTAAAATTTATAAATTTCTCTGCCTCAGATATTCCTTTATGGCAATAGAACATGGACTAAAACACCAGGGGAGGAAGGACAGAAGGTCACCTTTGCTTCTCAGACAGTGCCTTCCTTGGCAGAGTCTCACCTGTGCTTGAGTGAGGAGGGCGAATAGGAGTTAAGCCACTCAAAGTGTGGTTCTTGGAGGACAAGCAGCATGAGCCTCACCTGGGAGCTGCTGGACATAGAGACTCTGGGGCCCCACGCAGACCTGCTGAGGCTGCATCTGCATCTTAAACAGACTCCACAGGGGATTTGTTTGCTCACTGGAATTTCAGAAGCTCTGGTCTAAGCCACAGTGGAAAATCTCACTTCCTCTGCTTTAGACAACAAACCCCTGTCTCCCCCAAGTATTTCACAGGCCACCAGGGTCGGGTGCTTAACTGCCCTGCCCTCATCAACCTGAGCTTGATTCCAGTGTTAGGCCCTGTCATATACGCAAGAAACGTTTCAGGAACAGACAATTTTATAATCTAGCTGGGCATAGCCCTGGAGAGAGCACAATATATCAATGAGATTTCCAGAGAGAAATAGATGGTTCATGCCATTGTTCTTTTGTTATCACTCAGCTCCAATTAGTTTGGACTCCTTATTTCCAGACATATTATGTTTTCCTCTATGTTCTAGCCTCTCTATTTTTCTCTTTGACTGAATCCTTTCCCGTGTGAGACCCCACTCCTGACCCCCAGAACATTTGGACACACAATATTGCAATTTTTTAGCATTTATCAGTAAGTATCTTCACAGTTGGATATGGGATATCCAGGTTTTTTGCACAGAATAACACCCCCTCCAATATCGGCACCACAAATCTTACTTTTTATGATGCTCTAGCAAGTCTGGAAAATCACAAACAGTAATGTTTCCCTACATGAAAACATTTGATGTGACTGTTGAGATGATCACGTGGTTTTTGTCTTCTGTTTTGTCTGCATCTTCACCAGCACTTGTTATTTTTTTGTCTTTTTAATGATAGCCTTTCCAGCTGGGGTAAGATGATGTCTCGTTGTGGCTTTGATTTGCATTCACCTGATGATTAGTGACGTTGAGCATTTTTTCATATGCTTGTTGGCCACCTGTTTATCTTCTTTTGAGAAAAGTCTATTCTGATCCTTTGCCCCCTTTTCAATGATATTACTTGATTTTTTGGTTGTTTGCTTGCTTTTGAAGCAGTGTCTTTCTCTGTTGCCCAGGCTAGAGTGCAGTGGTAAGATCATGACTCACTGCAACCTCCACCTCCTGGGCTCAAGTGATCCTCCCACTTCAGCCTCCCAAGTAACTGGGACCACAGGCTCACTCCACCAAGGCTGGCTAATTTAAAAAAAAAAATTTGTGGAGATGAGGGTTTCATTATATTGCCCAAGGTGGTCTCAAACTCCTGTGCTCAAGCAATCCTCCCACCTTGGCCTCCTAACTGCTGGGATTACAGGTGTGAGCCATCACATATGGCCTATTATTTTATTTATTTATTTTTTCTTCGAGACGGAGTCTTGCTCTCTCACCCAGGCTGGAGTGCAGTGGCGCGATCTTGGCTCGCTGCCAGCTCCGCCTCCCGGGTTCACGCCGTTCTTCTGCCTCAGCCTCCAGAGTAACTGGGACCACAGGAGCCCGCCACCACGCCCAACTAATTTTTTGTATTTTTAGTAGAGATGGGGTTTCACCGTGTTAGCCAAGATGGTCTCGATCTCCTGACCTCGTGATCCGCCCGCCTCAGCCTCCCAAAGTGCTGGGATTACAGGCGTGAGCCACCGCGCCCGGCCGTTTGTAGCATATTTTGAATTAGGTAATGTGATGCCTCCAGTTTTGTTTTTTGCTCAGTGTCATTTTGGCTATACTGGGTCTTTTGTGGCTCCATACAAATTGTAGAATTGTGGGGTTTTTCTTCTATTTCTGTGAGGTATGTCATTGGTATTTTGGTAGGGATTTCAGTGAGGCTGTAGATTGCTCTGGGTTATAAGTTTTTTCTTTTCATATTTTATAAATATAGCTCCACTACTTCCTGCTTGCATTGCTTCTAATAAAAATTCTGCTCTTGTCATTGTGTTCACCTGTATCTAACATGTCTTTTGCCTCTGACTTTTTTTTTTTTTTTTTTTTTGAGATTGAGTCTTGCTCTGTTGCCCAGGCTGGAATGCAGTGGTGCGATCTCAGCTCACTGCAACCTCTCAGGTTCAAGCAATTCTCCCTGCCTCAGCCTCCCGAGTAGCTGGGATTATAGACGCTTGCCACCACATCCGGCTAACTTTTTTGTATTTTTAGTACAGACGGGGTTTCATCATGTTGGCCAGCCTGGTCTCAAACTCCTGACCTCAGGTGATCCACCTGCCTCGACCTCCCAAAGTGCTTGGATTACAGGCGTGAGCCACCTCGTCTCTCTGGCTACTTTTAAGGCTACATTTCTTCACCACATTTCTTCATCATCATTTTAGCATAAAATTGCTAAAATGTTTTTTAGCAATTTGATGATGATGAGTGTTGTTGTTTTCTTTATGTGGGGTGTGAGTGTGTGTGTGTGTGCGTGCACACACGCTCTGGAGTGTTCTCTCAAGTGTCTTTGGATGGTTCTTTTCTCTTCCAGAGGTTGTTTCCTCCCACATATGTGCTCATCGGTGCTCACGAACATTTGCAGACTCCAGAGTCCTCTCTCTGTGCAACTCTCTCCTCTTTGTTACTCTTCCCTTTGGACTGTTTTGGTTTGTTTTTAAATCTTTTAATTCCCCAGACTCCTACTCTGAGAGGGGGAATTCCATGCAGTGAGGTTTAGGGATATATTCTCAGGAAAGAAGTATGGGAGGCATGAGTGGGAATGTGTTACAATTGAGTGCTCAGCTGCAACACACTTCAAGGCCATCCTAAATTAAGGCCTGACTTTGGGATTGAGGCATCAAGCAGTCATTGCACCTGAGCCACGCTCTGACATGGGCAAACTTTTGGGGGAGGCCATTCTTTGCAATCAATGGCATTTTCCGGTGGGGAGCAGCTGTGAGAAGCCAGGGCCTCCCGGCAGCTTTGGGTGTATGGCGGATGGGTGAGCCCTGAAAGGGGAATCTTGATGGACACCACACTGCCCATTGTGGTGGCCCTCCCTGTTCAGAATATGAGGATGTCATGGAGCTGGGGCTTGAGGGTCTCAGTTAAACCTGAGAAGTTCAGAATGATCTGGGGCATTTGGGCCACAGAAAAGCAGCACTGCCTTAGGTCCAGTCACCATACAGAAGGAAATCCAGGGACCATTACCACTCAATGGCTGTCTCCCTCTGACTATCCTTACACTCAGGTCATCTTAAGCCAAGACACAGCCACTCTGGACAATACCAGGACAGTCTGGTCCTGCCAGCCCCAAGTCCTCTCCTGACCTAACCCACTCTCTTCAGAGTCTCCCTGGAGGGCTTGGAGGTCAGGGCACCCTGGGGTCTCAGATCCAGGAAAACTGAGCCAGACCTGCCCATGGCTGTGTCCACAGTCCTGCTGGGGCCGGAGGAAGTGAGTGACACAGACAGAAAAAGGGTTTGTGTCTCACTTTTCCATCTGCCTGTGTCACTGTGAGTTGAGTAGCATGGTTGTCTATCAACTGATAGTAATAATCAGCCTCATCCTCAGCCTGGGCCCCAGTGATGGTCAGGGTGGTTGTGTTGCCTGATTTGGAGCCAGAGAATCGCTCAGGGATCCTTGAGGGCCGGTCACTGCTATCATAGATGACCAGCACGGGGGCCTGGCCTGGCTTCTGCTGGTACCAGTGTTCATAAGAGCCTTCCATGCTGTCTCCCTGGCAGGTGATCCTGGCCATTTGTCCCAAGGCCACAGACACTGCAGGCACCTGAGTTGGCCCAGAGGAAATAACGGAGCCCACAAGAGAGGACAGGAGAGGTGAGTCTGAGGATGAGGGCCTCATTCCCAGAACCCCACACCCTGCATCACTCCCTATGTTGAGTTGAAGGTCAGGGCCAGGCTGATCTTGATCCCACTGGGGGCTGAGCCCTGGGAGGCAGCACCTGTGCAGAGAGTGAGGACGAGCAGGGGAGGGGTCCAGGCCATAATGGAAATGCCCCAGAGCTCTGCCTCTGAGTCCACAGCTGGGAAGGGACCTTCAGGCCTTTCTTATCATAGAAAGGGGAGTCTCTTCATGCAACTCTACTTCCTTTATTCTTAATTCTTTGTTAGTTGGTTCCCTGTTAAGCAGCGGATGTAAATCTGCTCTCCATTCTTTAAAATGTATGTCGAAGTTCTTGTCTGACCCTATGTCTGAGGACATTCTCTGCGTAATTTTTCAAGAGTAGAAGAGTCAGGTGGGTTTCAGGATTCCACTCAATAGAAGGGGCCAGAAAGGAAATGACTCAAGTACTACCAGGGACTTGGAGCCATTAGTGTCCCAAACCAGGGGTCACAGTGCCCCCTGGTGCCCACAGGACAAATGTCATCCTGTATGTATCAATAGATCATACAGCAGAATGGCTACCTTCGATTTTTGCGGGGCGGGGGTTAGTTTTTGTGTGTGTGTGCGTTTGTGTGTGTGTGTGGTGGAGTCTCACTCTATCGTCCAGGCTGGAGTGCAATGGCACGATCTGGGCTGCAGAATGACAACCTTTTTTTTTTCCTTTTTGTGATGGAGTCTCACTCTATCATCTAGGCTGGAGTGCAATGGCACCATCTGGGCTCACCGCAACCTCCGCCTCTCAGGCTCAAGCTATTCCCCTGCCTCAGCCTCCTGAATAGCTGAGATTACAGAAGGGCACCACCATGCCTAGCTATTTTTTTTTTTTTTTTGTATTTTTAGTAGAGATGGAGTTTCACCATGTTGGCCTGGCTGGTCTGGAACTCCTGGACTCCAGTGATCCCCCACCTCGGCCTCCCAAAGTATTGGGATTACAGGCATAAGCCACCATGCCTGGCCTACTTTTGAGCCCTTAATATATGCCAGATGCATTGGTGAGTGTTTTACAAGCATAACTTCAAGAAAACTTGCATCATATGGAGTAGGAAGATGAGGAGCCCTATGCTCAGGGCCCAGATTTTATTAGGGAATCAATATTGGGAGGTGAAGTTTTTTCCCCAAGTTCCCCAGACAGTAGTGAGTGGAGTCCCAGTTCCATCCAGGAAACGAACCTCAGAGCATGACCTTCCAGCCCCTCCCTGCCCTGCCTCCTGCACCCTGCTCCATCTGTTCCCCCTACCCAAGGTCTTTGGGGTCCCTCTTGTTTTCATTTGCCAGTGCTGCCATCACAAGATACCAAAGAACTAGTGGCCTCAACAGCAAAACTTATTTTCTCAGTGCTGAAGCTGGAAAGTCCAGGGTGAAAGTGTTGGTAGGACTGATTTTCCCTGAGGCCTCTCTCCTTGGCTTGCAGGTCGTTACCTCCTTGCTGTGACCTCACATGGTCTTTCCTCCGCCTGCTCATCTCTGGTGTCTGATTTCTGTGTGTGCAAATTTTCTCTTCTAAGGAGAACACCAGTCAGACTGGATAAGAACCCACCCTCATGACCTCATTTTCACTTAATCACCTCCATAAAGACCCTGTCTCCAAATTTAGTCACACACTGTGATTAAGGCTTCATTGCATGAATCTTGAGGGACACAATTTAGCCAATAAGCCTCCACCCTGTGGACTCCAAAGCTTATTTCTTTCTCACTTGTAAAACACATTCACCCCATCCCAGTAGCCCAAATCATTAACTAACTCAGCACAAACTCTGAGACCCAAATACCTCCAAATAAAGTGTGGATGAGACTCCGGGTGTGATTCTTCCTGAGGCATTAAAAAATAACAGCTTTAGGAAAATTTTCCTCCTCTTTCCTGTCATCTGGGTGTTCAAAAAAGTCAAAGCTCCCACTTTATTTGCTAAGATTGAAAGAGGCTTTGCTCCTGTTTCCTTCTTTCTCCCTTCCTGAGACTGAGGGGCAGTCACAGCTGCTGGCTGGCGAGCACTTATGGAAAACGCAAATGGGTCAGTTGAAAAGATTGGCAGTTGGGCCAAGGTCCCCACAGAGAAGGGATCCCATACCACTTGCTGCTGCGTGCACGTCCAAGAGTCTCCTTTCCCCAAAGAGACTTTGGGCCTGATAGATTTAACTTTGAGTCTCTGGCTGATTTCCTCTTAAACAAACCTCAGTTCTTTCTCAAAAACTTTCAAGTAATGGAAATTGTCCATTTCAAGTCCATATTGCCCTCTCTGTTGGCTGGGCATGGTGGCACACACCTGTTGTCCCAGCAACTCAGGAGGCTGAGGTAGGAGATGGAGCCACTGCACTCCAGCCTGGGCTACCGATTGAGAACCTATTTTTTTTTTTTTTTTTAGATTGCCCACTCTGAGTCTACTTAAGCTTAGAAGTCCTAGATCCAGTTAGCACCTGTGTGTCAAATGCCATGTTTATCTCCTGGTGCATTATGACCAGGGGAGAATGCACCATTGGCAGGTGCTTCAGAAGAAAATAGGCCAGGGCTGCTGCAAGCCCTCCTGGTGAGTCAGCGAGAATATGCAGTGGGTGTGTGCTACATAGGGACCAACAGGCACAGAACACACGCTGCTGTTCCCAGCTCCAGGACAGCTCAGACAACTAAAGAACCTGCCTTCAGCTGGTGGCTGCCTACCCTGTAAGCAGTGTCCACATGGTGCTTGGGCAACACAGTTGATGGGGAATGAAAAGCAAAAGACACTTGGGATTTGAGTCTATTTCTTTATAATCTGAGATTTTCATTTCATGGCGATTTAGAGAACCAAAAATAGCATCTCTCCCAGAACGGAATCATTTGTCACAAGCTATTATCAAATATGCCCTTCAAATTGTGTCCAAATTTGTCCAGATGTTTTCAAATTATGCTTAACAAGCAAATTAAGATACCATTAATATTGTGTGTATCACCAACGTGCTCTTAAACCATCACTCATGTAATGCTCCAGGGCCATGCACTTCAGTCTGAATTTGAGGACAGGGGCAGGGAGGGATCTGTGCATGAGCACAGGAGTGACCGTTGCTCATCTTCTCATCCACAGACATACGAATCTGTCCACAAGTGACAGGGACTGAATTGCTTAAACTGCAAGCTCCAGGTTACTGTAATCAGAGGCCACATTTGGTATTGCACTCCAGTAAGTATGTAGTTGTGACTTCTGATGATCTTTAGAGCTATTTTAGGTCATTCTTTATGAAAAAAAATCCTCATCTTCTCAGAATGCAAGATGGATTGCAAACACTGCATATTTAATAGGAAAAACAGGGAAACAGCAGGAGAGACGAGTGGAGAGAAAGCACAGCTATTTTTATAGTGGCAGAAAGGATAGGCATGTTACAGATGCTATGTCAAGGAGCAACAACTCTCCTATTCCTGCATGGCCCAGGTGAAACAGCTGCTATAAGTCCAATGAAAACAGAGTCTAGAAAAGCATTTGGTAAAGATCCTCTACTCCATACCTAAGCTTTGACTAATTACACATAGAAAGACCAAGGAACCTGTTCAAATTTAAAATGCTCTGATAAAAGTAACTAATTGCTCAGTTTCACAGTAGCATGACATTTGGAAGCTATGTAGCTAAACTAGGCTGGGGTTAAAAAAAATTAAATCGCGGTTATTAAGAAGTCAATATGGAAAGAAAAAGTCTGAAAACACTCCTAGTTCAAATTGTACCCATTTTCAGTGGTAAAACTCAGGATAGGGTTTACCTCCGATTTACCTGATAACCAATGTGACTGAGCTGCCAAGACAGCTCTGGACATGGGGCAGAGGCCCTTTATCCTGTCCCTGCTGTGAATGCCCCTTCTTGCCATCCCTCCAGGTAGGTCTGAGTGCACCCCCAGGGTCCTGTGCTGGTCCCACTGCTCCATGGTGCCTTCCCTCTGACACTGGGATGCTACCCACTGTGGGGAGCTCCCCTTTTCCCTGACTTCATCTACATCTGCCAAAGAGGTTAGGGACAGTAGAAGCCCCCTCAGGCTGGGCCTGGCCACCTGCTCTGGCCTCTGAATGCAGCCCCGCCTGACAGCTTGGCTGCAATTTCATGAGGAGCCCAGAGTCAGAACCACCAAACTAAGCAGCTCTCAGATTCTTGATGCAAGAAAACTACAAGATCACAAATACATTAATATGGTTTGGCTCTGTGTCTCCACCCAAATCTCTTCTCAAATTGTAATCCCCATGTGTTGAAGGAGGGACTTGTAATCCCCATATGTTGAGGGACGGAAGGGATTGGATCATGGGGGCAGTTTTCCCCTTGCTGTTCTCGTGATGGGTAGGGAGTTACCATGAGAGCTGATGGTTTTAAAAGTGTCTGGGGCCAGGCACAATGGCTTGCGCCTGTAATCCCAGCACCTTGGGAGGCCTAGGTGTGCAAATCACTTGAGGTCAGGAGTTCGAGACCAGCCTGGTCAACATGGTAAAACCCCATCTCTACTAAAAATATAAAAATTAGTCGGTCTTGGTGACGCATGCCTGTAATAACAGCTACTCGGAGACTGAGGTAGGAGGATCACTTGAACCTGGGAGGCAGAAGCTGCAGTGAGCCGAGAGCACGCCACTGCACTCTAGCCTGGGCAACAGAGTGAGACTCCATCTCAAAAAAAAAAGTATTTGGAAGTTCACCCTCCCCAGCTCTTCTCACCTGCCACCTTGTGAACAAAGTTCTTGCTTCTCCTTTGCCTTCTACCATGATTGTAAGTTTCCTGAGGCCTCCCCAGCCATGTGGAACTGTGAGCCAGTTAAACCTCTTTCTTTTATAAATAAGGTATTTCTTTATAGCAGTGCGAAAACAGATTAATGCATATGTGTTCTCATTAAGAATATGTTAATTTTAGGAGTAATTTTTATGCAACAATAGACAACTAAGGCACTTTATGTTTACTAGAATCTATTTAATTCAGGTTCATGAACTCTAAACTACAATAATAACTATGTTTAAAGATTGGCTCACAAAATTCCAGAGAATTTAAATACTGGACTCTGGATATGTCTGAATATTTTTAAAATTTTTAATTCTCACAGTCTGTCGATTAATCAGGATTCCAGCTAGAAATTGATGATTTCCCCAGAAAAATTAGATATATTTGATGCCCATGAGAAAGAGTGGGTGTGTTCAGCTCAACTCTTCCCTGTGGAGCCATTTTGGAAACTTCCATACTATGGGGAGATTGTCCACCTGTAGGGTGTTTCCAGGACAGGGACTCAGTGATGTGAGAGGAGGAGGATCCTGAGAGGGCACCAAGTCTGTCACTCAAATACTCCCTAGCTCGGCAACCTGAGATATTAGGGCAAACAGGATGGACCCTACACACACACACACACACACACACACACACACACACACACACACTTCTTCCTCTTTGTTTTCATTGCTTTAAAACATCTTTGGAGCTTTACACAGTGGTTACTGCTTCCACAAAAGATGTACATGAATAACCCAGCAAGGTGGGCTATCTTCACTAGAGTGGGGTGTTCACAGAGCAGTGGTCCTTTATCATTGAAGAGGACGTCATTTCTGAAGAACTGAATCCAGGCTGTGCTACACAATGTGGGAAGTGGAGGCATTCGACGTAAGGATTTACATTGACGACTTTAGTGCATACAAAAATAAAAATAAATAATAAAGTGAGGATCATCCGGAGAAGTATGGGGACTGCACTAGGCAGGCATTTCCCTGCCGGTATGTACTTCCTGTTAAAGAGCTAGAAGTAGTTTCCAATTCAGAGAGGACATCCGTCATACGAGTGAAGAAGAAGCTGTCATATCCCGGAGAGTAAACAAGAGAGGAGGTTTCCTTTGGGAATTGATGGAAAAGGAGAGGAGCTGACAGAGAAGTGAATTCTCAAGGCCCTGTTGCAGGAAGCCCCTGGCACAGGGTGAGGAAGCATCTTCAGAGCAAAGACAGAGCCTGAGAGCCCAGGGCAGGTTTTGGTCTCAGTTCCCTAGGAACTTGGACCACTATGGAAAGTGTAACTACTTGAATATAAGCTGCAGTGATAATTAGCCTCAACCTCGGACTTGAGCCCAGAGATGGTCAGGGAAGCCATGTTGCCAGACTTGGAGCCTGAGAAGAGGTCAGAGATCCCTGAAGGCCGAGTATTGACATTGTAAATCAGGAGTCTGGAGGTAGTGCTGAGACGCTTTTGGTACCAGAAGACATGATCATAATCCCCAACGTCACTGCTGGTTCCAGTGCAGGAGATGGTGACCGACTGTCCAGGAGCCCCGGACACAAAAGGAGGCTGAGTCAGGGCAGATTGGGCCCAGGACCCTGGAAAGAGGGAGAAACACACTCTACTGGGTCAGTACTGGGTCCAGTGACCCTGAGGAGCAGGAGCAGAAGACCAAGCATCAGCTCAGAGGTCCCCAAGGCCATTTCCCTGGAGGTGTCACCTGTGCCCTGAGTGAGGAGGGTGAGGAGGAGCAGAGCCCAGGCCATGGTGGAGATGTCCCGAGAGCGCTGCCTTGAGACCCCAGCACCGGGCCTGCCTCTAGCCCTGTCTTATCCCCCCGCCTCAGAGGAGGGCAGGGCCTCCATGCAAATCTGTGTCCTGAGCTCCTCTCCTCACCCCACCCTCACCTGGGCCTGGGCTCAGAGACTTCTGCTTCCCTGTGAGGCTCAGCTGAGGGTATTAATCCAGCCTAGGCATGGATTTCCTGAGACTGAACCCATGAGAGTGCCCAGGACATCAGGCCAGTCCAGAGATATCCTAACCCTCACTATTGCAGGAGCTCCAGGCTGAGGAAACCAGGACTTCTCCTTTGTGCTGTGAGGGATGAATGTGAGGACAGGCTGCTCCCAGGCCGGGTGGGAAAGTTCAATCACTCCTCCTCCCAGAGACTTCAGACAGTGCTGGAACTTCTCATTTCCCTCATCCCCTGCCCAACCATCTTGGTCCTCTCAGCTAAGGTGGGTTCTAAGCACTGCTACATCCCCTGCCCCTGCAGTGGTTTAAAGCTGGGGCCTGACATGTTGAACTAGGACCATTAATGGTGCTTCTAAAAAGGAATTCACTGGGCCACAACAGATTTGGAGCACTGCTTCCCAGTACCTTTAGAGATATTCAAGGGTAAGTAGCTCTTGGGATTTCTTTTTTTTTTTTAATGGCTTTTTATTAATGAGCAGCTGTTCATAGTTAATCATAAAGTCACATTCTTTTTTTTGAGATTCAGGGACTTTTTTTTTTTTGAGATGGAGTCTCGCGCTGTCACCAGGCTGGAACACGGTGGCGCCATCTCGGCTCACTGCAACCTCCAACTCCCTGGTTCAAGCAGTTCTCCTGCCTCAGGTTCGCGACTAGCTGAGATTACAGGCATAAGCCACCACGCCCAGCTAATTTTTGTATTTTTAGTAGAGACGGGGTTTCACCACGTTGGCCAGGATGGTCTCGATCTTCTGACCTTATGATCCACCCTCCTCAGTCTCCCAAAGTGCTGGGATTACAGGTGTGAGCCACCGCGCCCGGCCGACTCAGGGGCTTCTTAAAGGTCAGGATAAACTTTATCAATCATCTTCTCCAACCTAGTCCCCTGCTGCCCCCTGGTGGCCTCAGATGGTTCATCTCAAGTACCAAGACACAATTCTAAGTGAGAGATAGAAATACCTGGTTTGGTCCCACTCCAACCTGCCTTTTTCTCCTCCCAGCTCAGGACCAGACCCTCGATCCATGCTAATCTTGACCCTTTTCCTCAGACTTTTTCCATGATGAATGTGTCCTCTGCCATACCAGGTGGCTAAGATACTCGTTCTCAGGACCGTTTTGCTTGTGCTAGAATGGCTTTGTCAAAGGTACATGAGGTGTCTTAGCTCCAGGCTGAGAAAATGTTAGATGTAAAATGAACTAACCTCAGTATGAGCACTGGGTGAGAAAAATGGTATGAGAAAAGACCACCTGGGTTCTCAAAATGTCTTCTTACATGCACAGGGTATATTCTCCAGGAGAGAGCTCATGTTTGGTCACAAAACAAGTCTTAAGAAATGTAAGGAGAATTAAATCATTCCAAAAATCTTTTTTTACAACAAGAAATGAATCTGGAAATTAATAACAGTAAAAAAAAATGGAAAAATTCACAAATAGGCAGAAATCAAACATCACATGTTGAACAAGCATTGGGTCAAAGAGGAAAACCAAAGGGAATTTTAAAAATATCTTCAAATGAAAATTAAAACACAGCACACCAAACCTATAGGATGCAGTAAAAGCAGTGCTAAGTGGGAAGTTTATGGAGATAAGCAAACATTAAAAAAGAAGAAAGATCTCAAATAAGCAACCTAAAATTATAACTCAACGAACTAGAAAAAGAGGAACAAACTAAGCCCAAACTTAGCAGAAAAAAATGAAATAATAAAGATTACAGCAGAAATAAATCAAACAGATAATAGAAAAAAACAAAACTAAGAGATGGTTTTCTGAAAAATTAAACGAAGTTGACAAATCCTTAGCTACACTGTGAAAAAAGAGAGAAGACTCAAATAAAATCCAAAATGAAAAAAGGAGCTATTACAACAGATTTCTCAGAAATAAAAAGGCTCACACCTGTAATCCCAACACTTGGGAGACCGAGGCAGGTGGATCTCTGGAGCCCAGGAATTCAAGACCAGCCTGGGCAACACAGTGAGGTCACATCTATACAAAAAAAAGAAGAAAAGAAAGAAAGAAAGAAAGAAAGAAAGAAAGAAAGAAAGAAAGAAAGAAAGAAAGAAAGAAAGAAAGAAAGAAAGAAAGAAAGAAAGAAAGAAAGAAAGAAAGAAAGGGAAAGGAAAGGAAAGAAAGGAAAGAAAGGAAAGAAAGGAAAGAAAGGAAAGAAAGGAAAGAAAGGAAAGAAAGGAAAGAAAGAAAGAAAAAGAAATTATCCAGGCATGGTGGTGCATGCCTGTAGTCCCAGCTACTCAGAAAGCTGAGGTGGGAGGATTACTTGAGCCTGGGAGGTTGTGGCTGCAGTGAGCTGTGGTCAAGCCTCTCCACTCTAGCCTGGGTGACAGAGAAAGACCCTGTCTCAAATAAATAAATAGGATCATAAGGGACTATTTTGAAAAATTATACACCAAGCTAGATAAATTAAAAGACATAAATAAATTCCTAGAAACAGTCAACTTAAAAAAAAAAGCAAATCAATAAAAAATACAAAGCCTGAACATACCAATAACAAAGAAGGAGATTGACTCAATAATCAAAAATATCTCAACAAAGAAAAGCCCAGGACCAGATGGCTTCATAGCTGAATGTTCTACCAAACATTCAAAGATGAGTTAATATTAATTCTTCTTAAAGTCTTCCAAAAAATAGAAAAGGGAACACTTCCAAAATTGTTTTATGAGGTCGGGATCACCCTGATACCAAAACAAAGCAAAGACAACACCAGAAAAGAAAAAAAACTGCAAGCCAGTCTACCTCTGATAAACATTAACAGATATTAAATGCAAAAATTCTCAGTAAAATACTAGCAAACCAAATTCAACAGTATGTTAAGAAGATCATACATCAGGAACAGGTGGGGTTTATCCCTGGATAAAAGGATGATTCCGCATGTGCAAGGATGGTATAGCGCATCCACAGGCTGAAAGATTCACACACACACACACACACACATATGATTATGTCCACAGATGTACAAAAGGCATGTGGCCAAATTCAACATCCATTCATGATTTTAAATGAAGATGAAGAAGGAGGAGGAGGAGGAAAGAAAAAAGAAGAGGAAGAGGAGGAGGAGGAGAAAAGAAAGGAAAAGAAAAGGAAGGAAAGGAAAAAAGGAAAGGAAAAGAAAAGAAAGCAATGGAAAAAAAAGGAAAAGAAAAGAAAAGAACTCTCAACAAAATAGTGATAGGCCGGGCACAGTGGCTCATGCCTGTAGTCCCAGTATTTTGAGAGGCTAAGGCAGGAGGATCGCTTGAGCCCAAGAGTTCAAGACCAGCCTGGGCAACATAGCAAAATTAATCTCTATTATAAAATAAATATTTAAAAAAACAAAAATAAAATGAAATAGGTACAGAAGAAACTTACCACAACACAATAAAAACCATATGTGAAAAGCCCACAACTAACATCATAATCAATGGGAAAAAAACAGAAGCTTTTCCCCTAAGATCCCACACAAGGCAAGATGCCCCCTCTCCACTTATTTTAATTCAACATTGCACTGGAATCCCTAACCAGAGAAATTCGACAAGAAAAAGAAATGAAACGCATCCAAATTGGAAAAGAAGGATTAAAATCCTAATCTTTGTGTGCAGATGACATAAACATAAGTGTAGAAAAACCTAAAGACTCCACAATAACAAAAAGTCTGTTAAAACTAAATTAAGTAAATTTGAAGGATAAAAAAATCAACATACAAAAATTGATGACGTTTCTACACACAGACAGTAAATATATGAAAATAAAATTAAGAAAGCAATCACATTTACAAAAGGAATTAGTACTTAGGAATAAACTTAACGAAGGAGGTGAAAGAGTTTTACACTGGAAATTATAAAACAGTGATGAAGAATGTTAAAGAAGATACAGATAAATATCAAGACATCTCGTGTTTATAAATTGGAAGAACTAATATTCTTAAATGTTCATACTACCTAAAGTGATCTCCAGATTCAATGCTAGACCTATCAATACACAAATGTCATTCTTTATAGAAATAGAAAAAATAGGCCAGGCATGGTGGCTCACACCTGTAATCCCGGCACTTTGAGAGGCCGAGGCAGTGGATCACTTGAGGTCAGGAGTTCTAAACCAGCCTGGCCAACATGGTGAAACCCCGTCTCTACCAAAAATATAAAAAATTAGCCAGGTGTGTTGGCACGTGCCTGTAATTTATCAAAAAGATAAACGATAACAAATGTTGGCAAGGATGTGGACAAAAGAAACTCTTGTACACTGTTGAAAGGAATGTAAACTAAACAGCCATTGTAGAAAATGTATGGGGATTCCTTAAAAAATTAAAAATAGAACTACCATATAATCCAGCAATACCAATTCTGGGCATATCTCAAAACAAAATGAAATCAGAATCTTGAATAGATATCTGTTCTCCCATGTCTTTTGCAACATTATTCACAATAGCCAACACATGGAAACAACCTAAATTTCTGATGACAAATGAATGGATAAAGAAAATGTGGTGCATGCACACACATACATACATACATACACACACATACACACACACAAATATTGCCAAGTTTTAAAAAATAAAGGAAATCCCATCATTTGCAACAACATGGATAAAGCTGGAGGACATTATGTTAACTGATATAAGCCAGAAACAGAAAGGCAAATACTGCATGATCTTATTTGCATGTAGAATCTAAAATATTCAAACTCATAGAACCAGAGAGTAAAATGGTGGGTGTCAGGACTGGGGAGGGAAAAGGGAAATGGGGAGATGTTTATCAAAGGGTATAAAAGAGTACAGTGATACAAGATGAATAAGTTCTAGATAGCTAATGTACCGCAATGTGACTATGGTTAACAATATTGCATTATTTACTTTAAATTTGCTAATTTGGTAGATTGTAAGTGTTCTCACCAAAAAAAAAAAAAAAAGAAAGAAGATGATAATTATGTAAGGTTATTTTATGTGAATTAGATTGATTGTGATTTCACACAATTATTGCAGTAATTTCACAACAAATATATCAATGTACAACAAATGTATTAATATATCAAGTTGTATACCATAAATATATAGAATTTTTATTTGTCAATTATATGTCAATAAAGCTGAAAATAATAGTGAAAGAAAAACATTGCATGAAGGAGATACAGCTCACTAGATTTAAGAATGACCTAATGGAATGCAGACCAGGAATTCTAGTGTTTAAGGGTCGGAAAGACGAGGACTAGAGTCAAGATTAGACTAAGGGCGCCAGCTCTGGAGACCTCTCATCAGTGCCTGTCTGTCTATCACACAGAACATGGGACTTTTCTTTGTCTTGCTCCATTGTACACATTGAGGCCACCTCAGCTCAGAGCTGTGTGCCTTCATGAGGGTCCCCCATCCACAGAGAGATGCTTAACCTAGTGTGTTTTTCTAGAAAGAGATGGATATGAGTTTAAAACACTAATCAGGGCTGACTGATCTTTGCCAGATTAAAAATGGAAATGTCCACTCAGGAAACAGGATAGGGATTCTATGGAGGTAAACGTTCTTGGAGGACTATTTGTTGTTGTTTGTAACACATGACAGACACTTGCAAGAGCACCAGAAAGTGAAGCCAAAGGAGCAATGAGCTAAGTGGTGGCACTGGGGCTTGGTGGACAAGGAGATGGGTGATTGGGGAAATGACAGTTTTGAATGTAAGACCCTTGTTTCGCTATGTATGCTTTAAACATTTATGTGCTATATTATATTAAACAATAGTTGAGATAATGTTTATAATTTGAGATAATATTAAAATGGTAATGGTCAATGACCGGCTCAGAAATCCATCTGGGTGCGTGTGTTGGAGCCAGTAGCCCAGATCACTGTAAAGAGAAATTTTCCTGCAAGAAACAGACATCTGAACTTTACCAGGAGCTGCTTTGTCCTCAGTTCCAAGGACACAGTGAGAAAATGGCCTCTATGAGGAAGCAGACAGTCATTAGACACCAAATCTGCCAGCACATTGATCTTAAGACTTCCCAGCCTCCACGAGTGTAAGAAATACATTTCTGTTTTTATAAGCCACCAGTTTAAGGTATTGTGTTATAGCAGTCCAAAGGTATGTGGATAATAACCAATGTACTTTTTAAAAATATGTGGCTGGTCTTGATGGCTCATGCCTGTAATCCCAGCACTTCGGGAGACCGAGGCGGGTGGATCACGAGGTCAGAAGTTCGAGACCAGCCTGGCCAACACGGTGAAACCCCGTCTCTACTAAAAATGCAAAAATTAGCTAGGCGTGATGGCACATGCCTGTAATTCCAGCTACTCGGGAGGCTGAGGCACGAAAATCACTTGAACCCGGGAGTCAGAGTTTGCAGCGAGCCAAGATTGTGCCACTGCACTCCAGCCTGGGCAACAGACCGAGACTCTGTCTCAAAAAATAAAATAAAATATATAATCTGCTTAATTGAAGTTTATATGTTTTAAGGTTTAATGATGATTATAATTTAAAAGTGGCTCACAAAATCAAAGAAAATTAAAAAATGGCTAGAGAACACCCTGCAGGTTTAAAAAATTAATTCTCATGGTTATGAGATTAAATGAGATTCCAGCTAGAAACAGTATTGGCTCACCTTGAAAATAAACTACCCATAGAGTCCTTGAGGAACAGAAGACCCATCCACCAAATAAGCTTTCCTGTGGATCATTTAGGAAAGAGCCCATGCTAACAGGGAGACAGTCTAAGTACAGGACTGTTTCCAGGACAGGGGTTTAATGATCTGCAAAGAACAATGTTCTCGCAAAGAACAATCACTCAAATGTGCCCTGGCTAAGCCCCCATAGATAGACATCGGGTCAAAGACAAAGGAACTCTAAAAAATAAAAACAAGGCCAGGCATGGTAGCTCATGTCTGTAATGCCAGCACTTCGGGAGGCTGAGGTGGGCAGATCACCTGAGGCCAGGAGTTCAAGACCAGCCAGGCCAACATGGTGAAACCCCATCTCTACATTAGCTGGGCATGGTGGCGCGTGCCTGTAGTCCCAGCTACTCAGGAGGCTGAGGCAGGAGAATCGCTTGAACCCGGGAGGCAGAGGGTGCAGTGAGCTGAGATTGCACCATTGCACTCCAGCCTGGGCAACAAGAGCAAAACTCTGTATCAAAAAAATAAATAAAAACAAAGTTAAAAAAAAAAGAAAGCAAATAAATAAAACCCTTTACTTTTATGCTCACTCTCTCAACATCTTCAGATCTTCTCTCAGTTGGTGTTGCTTTGGGAAGAGACCTGCAGAGGAACAAATAACCCAGCAAAGACAGCCATCCTTACTACAGCGTGGTGGATATGGAGTTGAGTAAGACGTTATTTCTGGAGCACAGACCCAGGCCAGTCAGCACAGTGTGGGAGATGGAGGCATTTAATGTGAGGGTTTCATAGAAAACTGCAGAAATGGTACTGAGCAGATGGATCCTATTGCTCTGTCCCTGCCATTGAAAAGTTGGAAAGAGTCACCATGCAGGACCATATCACACAGGAAAAGAAGAAGCTGCCATTGTCCCTAGACAATTAACCAGAGAGCATGTTTCTTTTGCATTTCATTGTTGGAGGGGAGAGGGGCTGAGAGTGGATGAAATTCTCAAGGCCATGTTGCATGAAGCCCTCTTCTGCACAGGGTAAGGAAGCACCTTCATAGCGAGAGAGAGCCTGAGAGACCAGGGCAGGTTTTGGTCTCATTACGCATGAACTTGGACCACTGTGGAAATTGTAGCTGCCTGCATATGAGCTGCAGTAATAATCAGCCTCGTCCTCAGCCTGGAGCCCAGAGATGGTCAGGGAGGCCGTGTTGCCAGACTTGGAGCCAGAGAAGCAACCAGGGGCCCCTGAGGGCCAATTACCGACATCATAAATCATGAGTTTGGGGGCTTTGCCTGGGTGCTACTGGCACCAGGAGACAAGGTCATAACCCCCAATGTCACTGCTGGTTCCAGTGCAGAAGATAGTAACCTACTGTCCAGGAGACCTGGACACTGAGCGAGGCTGAGTCAGAACAGACTGGGCCCAGGACCCTGGAAAGAGGGAGAAATACACTCTGGTGAGTCAGTGCTGGGCCCAGGTGAGTCTGAGGAGCAGGAGACCAAAGATCAGCCCAGAGGTCCCCAAGGCCCCTTCCCTGGAGGCGTCACCTGTGCCCTGAGTGAGGAGGGTGAGAAGGAGCAGAGCCCAGGCCATGGTGGAGACGTCCCGAGAGAGCGCTGCCTCCTGAGACCCCAGCGCTGGGCCTACCCCCAGACTTGTCTTATCCCCTCTGCCTCAGAGGAGGGTGGGGCCTTCATGCAAATCTGCACCCTGAGCTCCTCTCCTCACCCCACTCTCACCTGGGCCGGGCTCAGAGACTTCTGCTTCCCTGGACAGCGGGGCTCAGCTGAGGAGATTAAAACTTGTTGTCTATTCTGATGGTAGGAACTTGATTCCTTTGTACCTAATTTCCTCAAGAGAGAAAGATCTGCTGAAGTCCCTCATCTGAGTGAGCTCCTGGCCCTCAGTGTCTCTGCTGTGTTGTGCCTGTGTCTCTGTGAACCTCCAGGCCTGGGCCACGCCATGGTGCCCTCTGCTTGGCACCCACCTCCAGGCTCTCTAAACTGTGAGGAAATGGGGGTGCCCACCCCATGGAAACCCCTGCTGTGTGTTGTTGGTCTCCCATCTCTTCAGCTGCAGCCTTGTCCCATCCCCACCCCCACCCTTCATGCCGAAGCATCTGCAGCATCAAATCCCTTGAGCACATTAGTCATTCTAGGTCATTCAGGGGCACACGTGGGAGGGGCCTGTGGAGGAAACAAGGAGCAATGGAGCCACAGTCCGCTGCTCCCAATCCTGCCCTTCCCACTCATGAGCAGGTGACTTGTCCTTTTCAGCCTCTGGTTCTCAGCCTGAGAACTGAGGACCACAGGGCCCACCCACTGCCCATGCAGAGGATCTATAGAGAGATGAGTGTGAGGTGGAAAATGAAAGCTTCTAAAATGGGCCATTTCTAGCCTAGTAAGAGCCTTTTTTTTTTATATAGACTTCATACTTATCTAAAGATTTCAGACCGAGCGTGATAGCTCACGCCTGTTATCCCAGCAGTTTGGGAGACTGAGGCAGGAGGATCGCTTGAGGGCAGGAGTTCAAGACCAGACTGGCCAACATGGCAAAACTCCACTTTTACTAAAAATACAAAAATTAGCCAGGCATGGTGGTGCGTTCCTGTAATCCCAGCTACTCGGGAGACTGAGGCAGGAGAATCACTGGAACCCGGGAGGCAGAGGTTGCAGTGAGCCAAGATTAGGCCACTGCACTCCAGCCTGGGTGACAGAGCAAGAGAGCAAGACTCTGTAAAAAACTATATATATATGAAACATATGTATGAAACATATATGAAACATATATATGCAATATATATGAAACATATATATGCAATATATATATGAAACATATATATGGCTATATATATGAATATTGCATATATATGTTGCAATATATATATGAAACATATATATGAAATGTATATGAAACATATATATGAAATGTATATGAAACATATATATGAAACATGTATATGAAACATATATAAGAAACATGTATATGAAACATATATATATGAAATATTTCATTCAACTTTATCTTTTATTTTTTTCCTCATATTACAAAGAAGTGTTATTTCTGCTTTCTGGGTTTTCTTCCATCTCACTGTATCCACAAGCTACAATAAACCAACTTTTTGGCCGGGCATGGTGGCTCACCCCTGTAATCACAGCACTTTGGGAGGCCGAGGTAGGTGGATCACCTGAAGTCAAGAGTTTCAGACCAGCCTGACCAAGATGGTGAAACCCCGTCTCTACTGAATACAAAAAATTAGCTGGTGTAGTGGTGCACGCCTGTAATCCAGCTACTTGGGAGGCTGAGGCAGGAGAATCGCTTGAACCTGGGAGGCAGTGGTTGTAGTGAGCCGAGATTGCACCATTGCACTCCAGCCTGGGCAACAAAAGTGAAACTCCATCTCAAGAAAACAAAAAACAAAAACAAAAACAAAAAACAACTCTTCTTAATCAAGGAGCACATAAGAAACACAGGGGCCGGGTGTGGTGGCTCATGCCTGTAATCCATCACCTTGGGAGGCTGAGGCGGGTGAATTGCTTGAGCCCAGGAGTTCGAGACCAGCCTGGCTGGGCAACATAGTGAGACCTCCTCATCTCTATTTTTAAAATTAAATTAAAAAAGATAAATAGAGTAAACATAGAACCAATGTGAAAATATTTCTCTCTGTTTCTTTCCTCAAATCACTTTTAAAACTCTTTCATCTTTTGATGTTTTCCACTGCCTGTGATTCAGATTGATTTAATTTTCACGTTTAGAATATTATTACTGTTTTCAGGTTCCATTTCGGATGCAGTGGCATATACCACATTTTCTCCAAGCCCAGCTGTAAAACCTGGGACAGAATCCATGGAGCATCAATTTGATTACTTGGAAAAGCAAATCACTGGAGGCAGACTAGGGGAGATACTAGCACTTTTAGTAAAATCAAACCAGCAGAGAGCTTCCCATTTTCCCCCAGTGTCCTGTGGCCTGCACTCAGGGCAGACCAATACCTGGAAGGGGTACCAGTGTGCAGCCACAAAAGTTCCAGAAGAAGCTCCACTGTTCTGGCTTGAAGATGAGAAAGGAAACCCCTAGTGCTCAGGGCAAATTTGAAATGTCCACGTTTTCCTTTTCTTATGTTTGTTCTTCTCTCCATTCTACATGATCCAGCCTCCAGGAAATTCTTCGTGGTGACAGCAGGGACAGTAGAGACTGTGCGGACTTTCTTTTCTCATCTTTGGAGCTGATTTCCAAGACAGTGGCACTTAATCCCCTTACCTTTGTTACTCTTTGTCCTCTTGGTGTTTGGTGTGGACACGGACTCAGTTGCAGGAAGTGCACAGCACCGCAGGCTTATTAAAGTCACAGTTTTTTCACCAGAAACCAAAAGGGAAAGTCTGGGGAACCATAAATAATGGGCAGACTGTGGAGAGAAATAAGTTTGAGGGGGAAAAAACCCTGTAAATTCCTTATGAAATCTTGGGCACAACTCTGAGCTACGTGTGCATGGATCTGATCCAAAATAGAATAAAAAAGGCTCAGGGAACAGAATCAAGGAAGAGACCTCGGACCAGATCCCAGATGACCACTGTGGAGTGATCCAGGCACTCTGTTTCCCAGGGACCAAAGGCAGAGCTGGGGACTGTTTATTCCCACTCAATACCTTCTAGGTTCTCTCAGAATGACCCTCAAATACCTCTGTCCTCTTTCTATGCAGTGCTCTGAGGCTGGGGGCTGAGGCTATTTATTAGCCTTTCTAGAAACGAACATATTGGGACACAACATATTTTGGACATTCCACTCCCCACTTCTCCCTTAGAAGGGTCTCAGGAGGAAGCAGCCCATGGAGCTTCATACACTCCCTGGTTAAACCACAGCAATTCCCTTCCCCAAATCCAAGCCCTTGCCGCCCCCTGGTGGCCTCAGATGGAGGAGCCCAAGCCCCAGGGAGGCGGCTGAGTGGATCTGGAAATCCCTGTCCTGCTCCTGCCCCTTCCCGTTCCTTCCCATCCCAGCTCAGGACCAGGCCTCCTGGTCCCTTCTAATCCCCCCCAGGCTCCTGGCCCTTGGTCCTCTGGCTTCCTCCAGGATGGATGCACCTTCTGCCACACCAGGGGCCCAGACCCTCCCCCGCAGAACCTCTTAGCTTGTCCCAGGGCAGCCTAGTCACAGCGTTAGTGCACCTGAGGCAGCTCTAGAGGCTCAGGGTTACAGAAATATTGTTAGATGGTAAATAAAACCAACCCCAGGAGGAAGGCTGAATGAGAAAAATGGTATGAGGAGACATTGATCAGCTTATCAAAATGGTTTGAAAGAAAGACTAGTTCTAGTTCATGAAGGACAAAGAGCACAGTCAGACTTGAGAACAACTGAATGGACAGCCAGAGGTGAGTTTTTGAATTTGAGGACATGGGAGAAGGGTCAGGGGTCAGGCTGGGGCTAAGGGTTCCAGCTCCAGGGGCCTCTCATTAGACATTAAAGTGATAAGCGGCCCAACGCAGTGGTTCACGCCTGTAATCCCAGCACTTTGGGAGGCCAAGGTGGGCGGATCTCTTGAGTCCAGGAGTCTGAGACCAGCCTGGGCAACATGGCAAAACTCTGTCTCTACCAAAAAAATTTTAAAAATTAGCCGGACATGGTGGTGCATGCCTGTGGTGGTCCCAGCTACTAGGGAGGCAGAGGTTGCAGTGAGCCAAGATCATACCACTGCACTTCAGCCTGAGTGAGAGAGGGAGACCCTATCTCAAAAAAAAGAAAGAAAGAAAAGAAAAGACAAAAAGATAGGTGTAACCCCCACCCAATAACTCAGTTTTCTTTCTCTCTATGAAGTTCTAGAACTCTCAGCATCCCTCCAGTTCAATTCAGATTGACTCTTGCTTTTCCAAAATAAATATCTTGCTAATCTGCCTCCAAAAAATTTTTTTGAGTTATAGGAAAAATTTTTAGTGTACATGAAAGTTAAGTAGAAATATCACCTAAATTCTCACAAACCTATGAAACTATTGTTTCATTTTAGGAACCATCCCACCAGATTTCTTGCCATACTTAAATGTGATGTTTACAAATATGAATTATGTATCTTCCATAAGGATGAACATAGTAAGTTTTGTTCATTTTTCTATCTCTAGCCATAAAAGGTTATTTGGCATATAGTAGACCTTTGGTTAATATTACTGGAAACAATTAGTGATGTATAAATTGAATCAAGGTAACTAAATATATATGATTTTACATAAATAGGATCATATTATACAATCAGGTTTATGAATTGCATTTTGTACCCAAATATTACAGACATCATGATCTTGTTACTTGTATCTTGTCTGTCTTCTCCAAAAAATCCCCATGAGTCCAAACAAAGCACTTTATGTGTTTCCCTCAAACCTGTTGCTCTCCCATCTGTCTCTCTCTTAATAAAAGAAAGTAGTAGCCACGCCATTGACAAAGTCAAACTTCCAGGAGTCAACAACTCTTTGCTTCATGCCCCATATTCAATCCAAGAGCCAATCTGCCAACTCTAATGGTGAATCTCCCAGTCACTCTCCATGACTCTACATGGGACAAGCTTCACTCTCTTGTGCCCAAAGGCCATAAAATGCTCTGCCTGCTTCAATTTTTCTTCCATAAATTTCATACACCATGAATGTTAAATTTCATTCATTTAACACATCAATCACTTCATGTAAAAATGATGGAAGATCTTCAAATAAATTCTCTTTTCATTAACAAAAACATCCAGCCATTTGCCTCTGCTTTCAAGTGATCTGTCTGCACATGATCTGTTGGCTGCCTGTAAGTCCCCTCTCATCTCCTTCCTCTCTTTCCCCAGTCCCACTGGATTTCTTTCTGTTCTTTCAATTATCAAGTTTCTCTCTACCTCAGGGCCTTTGCACAGGCCATTCCTCTGACTGGAATTATCATATCTTCATGTGTTGCATGCCTGCATCCTACTGAGGACACACAAATGCACCCAACAATCCACTCAATAATACCTGCTTGTTGAATGAATGAAGGAGACAACTTAAGTAGGAAGGCTAAGCTATTGGCCTCACCCAAACAGTCTCCAAGCCACATTTAGGCATGTTAGAAAAAAAACTTCCCAGAAAGGTCTGATTGTGGATACCAATTAGACAATTAGAAATAAGTGTGGTTTTTTGTTTTGTTTTTTAGAGATGAGCTCTCACTATGCTACCCATGCTGGTCTTGAGCTCCCGGCCTCACAATCCTCCAGCCTCAGCCTCCTTAGTAGCTGGGATTATAGGCAAGCACCACAACTCTGCTAGAAATAGGTTTTGATGCAATTATCTGTTCCTTTAGCAAACGTCACACTCAGTGCACTGTTTTTACCCTCTTGCTCACTCTCTGCAGTCATCCCATGACTTAGAGGAGGAAGAGGCATGGGATCTGATCTTTCCCACTTTATCCTTTCCTGAAAAACACAATTGTGGTTGCGGAGAAAGCGGAGGACTTACTCATCCCTGCTCTGAATGGGGAGGGTGAGGAACGGATTCCAGCCAAGCTGGGAAATATCCAACATCTTCCTTCACAAGGACCAAAGGCAAGGCAGGGGACCTCTCATTCCTACTCAACCTCTCCAAAGGGTGGATGCTCACACATCTTTCTCACTGTCCTCAGCCCCTACAGTGGCCTGAGACTGAGGCCTGGGGATGTTTATTGGCCTAATCAGAGAAGGCACTGAGTGGAGACAAAAGACTTGCAAGTTCATCCCCTTTGGAGTCCCTGGAGAGAACAAAGCTCTTGGGACCGCCTACAAGTAGGATAAACCGCAGTAGTACCTTGGGGCCATTAGAGTCCTCAAACTCATACCCTTCCTGTCCCCTGGTGGCTTAGATGGGAGGGTCTAGTCACAAGAACAACTGAAGGAGGCCCAGTCATCCGTGTTCTGCTTCCTCTGCACCCTTCCCTCTTTCCCTCCCAAATCTAAGTTTGCTCCTTCTCCCTCCCCTTGTTTACCCTTCTGATCTATGCAGTGCTCCCTCCCTGGTTCCTCGCCCCAGAATGGAATGTGTCACCTGCCATGACTGCTGGCCCAGGTTCTCCAGGCAAAGGGCCATTCGCTTGCCCCAGGGACCCCACTCCACGGGTCGGGTCGCTGCTTGGGAGGTAGGTCTCAGTTCCAGGCCAGAGAAACATTGGATATAAATTGAAGACAACCCTGGTAGTAGGACTGGAGGAGAGAAATGAGACAAAGAAACCCTTTTAGAGTCTCAAAATGTTTGAAATAAAACTTCAGGAGGGAAGAGAGAGAGATCAGGCTGGACTGAGGCTATTCCAGGGCCCACATAAAGAATCTTCCTTCTCAGCAAGTGGGAAGATGTTGGACAATGCTCAGAGGAAGCTTGACCCAAGGGTCTAGATCCAAGGACCTCTCATGAGAGTGGAGTTCTGTTTGAATACACGAGATTCTGGGTCCTCCTTTTGCTGTCACCAATGTCCATCTTTGGAGTCACAAATCAGAGCAGTTCACTAACCTGGAGCGAGGTCTTCCACCCATGGGATGATGCATGATTTCCGTATGTTTTTCTACAAGGACTTGGAAGCAGCGTATAGTAGATTGAATGGCTCCTCCAAAGATACCAGGTGTAATCATTTAGAGGTCTTTGTTTTTAGTCACTCAGTTTATGGTTTGGTCATTTATCACAGCAACTACAGTGAATTAATCCTTGGGGTAAATATCCTACTCTGGAATGACTAGACATTGCAAGTTAGGCTCTTTCAGAAACTTGTTAATGGGGTTTGACCCTTCTTCCTTACTTCCCTCTGAAAATATAGATTAAAAGCTAGGCCGGAAGCTATGGCTCATACCTGTAATCCCAGCAATTTGGGAGGCTGAGGCAGGAGGATCACTTGAGGCCAGGAGTTCGAGACTACTCTGGATAACCTAGTGAGACCCCCCCATCTCAACAAAAAAATAAAAAATAAGCTAAAAAGATTAGAAGCTGTCCCTTTCTTGGTGGCTTATGCATCTTGCCCCGAGAGGTGCCATGCTATACTGACTGACTCCATCATTCAATGTCAGGTGCCTTGCTGCCACTTCATCTTTTGCCACACACCTGGCTCCTATGCTTAAGCCCTGACAATGTGACACTATCACTGCATGGTCCTTCCATCCGTATTGCTATCAACTTCCTTACCAGCTTCCCCTGCTGGCCTGGTCTAGAGAACTACCCACTGAGTTTCTCAAGGATGCTGGATTTCTCTCACCAGTGCACCGCTTATCAATCAATTACAGACTGCAGTCCCCAGGCCCTCCTGAGAATTCTCTCACTTGGGGAGATGTCCATGAGTACCTGGTATTGCCTTTCCAGCTAAGCACTCTCAGAACCCTTCTCTCTCTCTCTCTCTTTCTTTCTTTTCTTTTCTTTCCTTCTTTCCCTCTCTCTCTCCCTTCCTTCCTTTCTTTCTCCCTCTCTCTTTCTTTCTTTTCTTTTTTCTTTCTCTCCTTCCTTCCCTTCCTCCCTTCCCTTCCCCTTCCTTCCTTTCTTTCTCTCCATCTCTCTCTTTCTTTCTCTCTCTCTCTCTCTTTCTTTTTTTCAGGGTCTCACTCTGTCGCCCAGGCTGGAACAGCTGGCTACAGTCTTAAACTCCCCAGGCTGAAGCAATCCTCCTACCTCAGACTCCCTAGTAGCTGGGACTACAGGAGTGTGCCACCATGCCTGACTAATTTTTTTTAATCTTTTGTACAGACAGGGTCTCACTATATTGCCCAGGCTGGTCTTGATCTCCTAGCCTCAAGCCATTCTCCCACAGTGGCCTCCCAAGGTGCCGGGATTACAGGCATAAGCCACCACACCTGGCCTCCCAGGACCTTTTGATTCCTCTCCCACCATCTGCCACAGCACATCTGGCATTATGACCTTGCTTGGTACGGACCATTGCTTTCTCTGTCCTCCTAAGGGCAATCCTTGCGGCGGGCTTGCGGAATGCCTCAATGTCTTTGCTAGGGGGTTAAAGCCTGCGTCCCAGGAGAGTGCTTCCAGCAGATAAACCCTCCCCAATCCAATCTTAGGTTTTGCACTTTGATCTTACACCCTCAGAATCCAGCCCCATACACACTCGCCTGGGGCCCACTGCACGTGTTGGCTGGTTCTGGAGCTCCTTAGTTCTGCAGCAGGTCTATCACATTCCTTGCCAGGTTTCTTTGGGACTCAATTCTAGTTATTGGTCCATTGGTCTTAATAGGAGGTGGTGGCAGATTTCTGGGGACACTTGTGGTGGTGGATACAATCTCACAGGTCAGAGGTCTCTGCATCATCTTCAGGCAAAAGGAAGGGAGACATGGGTTTCAATGAGTAAGGGAGGGCCACTTCTGCAGGTTTGGAAAATTCAAGGACATCAAGATTTTCAGGTGCGTGAATCCAGATGGCCTCGTCCCGTGACTCAGTACCCCACTGTTACCCTGTCAGGGTCCCGATGGTCTGCTACACTTAGGATTAAGTTCTGGGCTTCAGTCTTCCCTGCCCTCTGTCCAAGCAGATGAGAGGGCAGGGAAGGCTCAGGCCCAGAGGAAGAGTGCAAGCCAAAAAGCTTTTCCAGCCCAAGATGAAGCTTTTTTTCAGCCCAGGGGGAAGCTTTTTTTTTCAGCCCAGGAGGAAGCTTTTTGGCTTGCGCTCTGATGGAGTTAAAAATGTACCAGTCTATGGATTAACAAAATGTGGCACATATACACCATGGAACACTATGCAGCCATAAAAATTGATGAGTTCATGTCCTTTGTAGGGACATGGATGAAGCTGGAAACCATCATTCTCAGCAAACTGTCACAAGGACGAAAAACCAAACACCGCATGTTCTCACTCATAGGTGGGAATTGAACAATGAGAACACATGGACACAGTGGGGGAACATCACACACCGGGGCCTGTTGTGGGGGGAGGGGGGAGGGATAGCATTAGGAGATATACCTGGTGTTAAATGACGAGTTGATGGGTGCAGCACACCAACATGGCACATGTATACATATGTAACTAACCTGCATGTTGTGCACATGTACCCTAAAACTTAAAGTATAATAAAAAAAAAAAGAAAAGAAATAAAAAAGTACCGGTCTAGCAAATTGACTATTTAAGTAAAAGGCACTTGAAAACACCAGTTGCAAAAAGATCATTCTGCTGTTTTCTGTTTCTTAAAAGCAGAAGACAAAAGTCCCATGTGAAAAACCCTGTCCCTCCCTATGCTAGAAGGAAAAGCAACATTCTTATCCTCAGGGATGAGAAGTCAAAACTGAGATACTGCTGAACAGACCTTATTATAATAACTTTTATCTTTTAAGCAAAATCAGTGTGGACTGGGAAAATTCCAGGAAGCCTCTAAAAGATTTTCTCTTCTCAGCAGCTGGGAAGAAGTTGGATGGGGCTCAAAGGAATCTCAGCCCAAGAAACCTGTCATCAGAGTGGAGTCCTATTTGGATACACCAGATTCTGGGGCTTTTTTCCCCACATATTTTAGTCGTTTCTTCACAACTGACTATTCTTTGACCAATTCCTTATATAAGTAACTGACTCTAACTGCTTCTTTGGGTCTTCATTTCCTTGTGAGGGCTCCTGTGCCATGTGAAACTTGTATTAAGTAAATTTGTATGTTTTGTCTCCTGCGAATCTGTTTTATGTCAATTCTTGAGCCCAGCTGGTACCCTAAGAGGATGGAGCTGGAGCCTTGTTGCCCCACATCTTCTAGTTTTTCATTGCTAATTAATCATTCCAGCATTTTATCTGTTGCAAATCATCAATCACACTTAGTATCAGTGCTACCACACTGTTCCAACAGAGAAAGCTGTGGAATTGGTTCCTTTAATGTTCTGTTTTCTTCACGTCTCTCAAATGTCTGACTCATGGTCCTGCTTTTTCATTTCCTCCTATAGGTAAATCATCCCTATTCACCACTGGTAAAAAGTTTACACACTGCATTGCTCCACCATGGTAGGGGCTATATGCGCATCTACCCTCGCGCCCCTACCTCCAACTCCCCCATATTGGGGTCTCCATGGCTCCAGAATCCCATCTCTCAAGTGTCTCCTTTCATAGACATTCCTGGTCCTAAGATAACTCAGGACTGTCCTGTTTTAGCACTGAAAGATCTATGTCCTGGGAAAACCTTCGGTCCAGGGCAAACAGAGACAATTGGTAATCTTCCTGGAAACAATGGTCACAAGCTGGGTCTCCTGGAAACAGAAGTTAAGGCGGAGATGAGCACACAGAGTTTTATTAGGGAGTGCTTTGGGCATCGCCTGGAATCTGCCTGGTGAGCAGATCCCTCCAGGGTAGGCAAGTTCAGGAGAGCATTTGCAGGTGAGGGCTGACTTCTGGCTGCATCACACTTTTGTCCTGACAGGGGATCTGGGACATTGGCCTTGACATTGGCCCATCAGCAAATGGCAGATTTCACTTTCCTCAATCAATGAGCTGGGAATAAGAAGTCCTGTGGAGTGTGAAGCATATAAAGCATTTCCAGTAAAATGCCTAACACATTTAAAACTTACAAGCATGTGAACTGCTGCTCAATTGGGGAAAAGCCTCAGATATTTGAGGGAAGGGACTTCAAAGATCCTGTGTCTTTGGTTTTAGGCATGTTTTGAAATCAGCGTGTCATCAGAGGAAGAATAACATCAATAAAATACCTGTAGGTAAATAACTGGACCAGAAGCCCGCTAGACTGGAGGTGTGTGCTGGATTAGGGCCCAGCCTCCATCACCTGTGGTCCACAAGGGAAAGCACTAGAAGGTGCCAGGTAGTTCCTGAAGGAAGTAAACAGATGGTTTCTCTATGTAATCAGTTATTGCCAGAAGATTTTTAGGCATTCCAAGATGCAGGAATTACCATCCTATTTGATTTTTTCTTGAAGAATTTTCCTACACAATCAGTCATAAATAGACACAAGCAGCATGGTTGATGCAAATTAGGAGACAAAATGATAATTTGCAATAGATATAATGTATCACCTATAACCAAAGTTAATATACTGGAGAATGTACAAAAATAATTTCCTGCATACCAAGGTTTACCAGTGAGAGGGCAAGGAAGCCTTGCACAGTACAAATCAGAATGGTACCATATATAGAGAAGATGTCAAAATGTATGGTACCTTAGCTATATCAGATTCCCATTGTTGCTACAACAAGTTGTCAAAAACTTAGGGGCTTAGAATAACAGCAATTTATTTTCTTGCAGTTCTGAGAATCTAAAATCCAAAAGAAGGCTTACAGAACTGAAATAAAATTATCAGCAGGACTGGTTCCTTCTGGAGGTCCCAGGGGAGAATCTGTTTCCTTGACTCTTCCAGCTGCTAGATACTGCTGGCATTGCTTGGCTTGTAGCTGCATCATCCCACCGCTGTTCATGTCTCCTTTTCTGTCCTCAAATCTCCCCCTGCCTCCCTCTCGAAAGGACATCTGTGACTACATTTAGGGCCCATTGCATAATCCAGTATAATGTCTCCCTCAAGATCCTTAATTACATCTGCAAAACCCCTTTTCTCATATAAAGTAATGATATAGCTTGGATATTTGTCCCCTCCAAATCCTATGTTATGTTCTGTGCTCCCAGAGGTTAAGAAAAAGAAAAAGAATGATCCTGGCTAACACGGTGAAACCCCGTCTCTACTAAAAATACAAAAACAAAATTAGCCGGGTGTGGTGGCGGGTGCCTGTAGTCCCAGCTACTAGGGAGGTGGGAGAATGGCGTGAACCGGGAAGGTGGAGCTTGCAGTGAGCTGAGATCACGCCACTGCACTCCAGCCTGGGTGACAGAGCGAGACTCCAAAAAAAAAAAGAAAAGAAAAAAAAGAAAAAGAAAAAGAAGGTGGGAAGTTTTGGGGTCATGGGGGCAAATCCCTCGTGAATAGCTTGGTGCCCTCCCTGTGGAGATCAGTGAGTTCATTCATGAGAGAGCTGGTTGTTTAAAAGAATGTGGCACCTCTCCTCTCCCTCTTGTTCTGCCTTTTGCCATGTGATGCCTCCTCCCCCTTCCACCAAGATTGAAAGCTTTCTGAGGTCCTTACCAGAAACAGATGTGGGCACCATGCTTCTTGTACAGTCTGCAGAACCCTGAGCCAAATAAAACTCTTTTCTTTATAAATAACCCAGACTCGGTTATTCCTTTACAGCAATGCAAAACGGACAAAGACAGGCAGTATTCACAAGTCCCAGGAATTAGGACCTGAATATCATTGAAAGCCACGACTCAGGCTACCCTACCAGCCTTCAAGTCTTACTGAGGCACAGAAAGGAAACATTCTGAGGTGTTGTTCCCAGGATGCTTTGCACAACAGCACACTGACATATTCCAGAAACAAAAGCTGTCCATATCTAATTTTTAAAAGCCACTGTAGTATGATCTTTCTGTCCTCCTTTTCTTGAAAAAGCATTCTAGACTAAATATTCGTGTCCCCCCAAAATTCATATGTTGAAACCTAACCCCTAATGTGATGGTATTTGGAGGTAGGGCCTCTGGGAGGTGATTAGGTCATGAGACCGAAAGTTTTGAGAACCGCTGATCTAGGAAAGATATTTACCAAAAAAGAAAGAAGAGGAGAGGCAAGAGAAGGAAGAGGAAGAGGAGGCCATCCTAGCTCCCCCAGTATCTCACACTAGTAATGGTCAGTATGCAGCAACGACCGCTTTCTCTACTCATTCGCAGTTGGTTCTCTTAGATTTAACAGCTAAATCAACCATAAGTGCAACTATTCATTTCTGTCTCTTCCATTGTAAAACTGTCTTTTATTTCTTTTTACTGTCTTATTTTTGAATTTGCTGGAATAATTTTTGATATCAGCATGCAGTGTGCTGTCCACTGCAAATAGACAAAGAGTGTAGAGAAACACAAGACATAAGTATCATCATTGAAGTATATTTTTAATAGCATAGGCCAGACCAAGCAGAGACCATGGGTCCAGGCAGGGAGTGAGGAGAAATGGGGGTGGTGGGTTTTCCCAAGGGGCCTCTCCACAGTGGAGACCAAGAGACACTACTCCATCCCTTGGCTCTAAACCTAGATCTGCACACCCATCTAATAGCATCTGAACTGTCATCAGCTCTGCCATTTCATTATTGTGCTTTACGCTTGGAAAATCTGCTTTCTAGAACACCACTAAAAATCAATGAATAAAATGACAGAGTGTCTTAAAAAGTAAAGGATGTCTTCTTAACTTCTGAATAGAAGGCACAAGTCTTCTCTGTATAATTAGAATCTCCTCCCCTAGTCCTGACTGCACACAATTACTGAGGATGTACCCTATGGTGACCCCAAATGAGTCATACCCTTGCACAATCTCTTCACTTGAATTCAAGAAGAACCTGTGATTTGCTTCTAACCAATAAATATGGCAAAGGTGATGGAATATCTCTCTTTTCATTAGGTTACATTAAATGGCAAAAGAGCTATGGGTGACCTCTAGGAACTCTAGGAGCTTCGGGCACTGACAGCAAATAGCCCCCCAAAACCTTGGCTTCAGTCATATAGCAGCAAGGAAGTGAGTTCTGCCAGTAAGTTTGGAAACAGAATCTTCCTCAGTTGAGCCTCCAGATGAAAACACAGCCAAGCCAATGCCCTGATTTCAGGTTGGGAAGACCCTGAACAGATGACTCAGCTAAGCTGATCCCAGACTCCTGATCCAGGAAAACTGGGAGATCATAAATGGGTGTTATTTTAAGGTGCTAGGTTTGCAGAAATTTGTTACACAGCAAGAGAAAACTAGAACCTGGATCATCTCAGTCACTTTGGTCAGATCCAGGTGGAGACAAGGTAAGGAGAGAGACCTCGATCATTGAGTACAGGAATACCTGGGCTCACACTGATGCACATCTTCAAATGAGGTGGCCCCTGAGTTGTCTCAGTGCAATAAGAAGCTGTTGTTCTTCCTCCAACCTTGCCACTGAAGAGGGAGACCAAGTCTGCATTCAGAGGCCATTCACTGCACAGAGGGAGGAGGGAGCTTTTATTTTCATTTTTGCAAAGCCAAGTCCCCTGGGAGATGGTTTCTCTTTCCCACATCATTATAAAGAGCAATGAGAGTTGCATAGGGTCCCATTCCTGAAGCGTCCACCCCCTTGGGATGATGAGCAGAAATGAAAGCAAACACCACCATCTGACTGCCTGACTGGTGTGAAGCCCTGTGACACTGGTCACTCATGGCAGATTTGGTCTCTGTTCCCCGTGGACTTGGAGCACATGTGGGTAAAAATGCTATGGTTGTCCCAGAACAAACAGTGACTGTCAGGCCCATCTTCAGGCTAGAGGCCAAAGACGGCCAGGAAGGCCGTGTTGCCAGACCTAGAGACTGAAAATCAAGCTGGGACCCCCTAAGGGTTGAGAATGGACATAATAAATGAGGAGTGTGGGGCCAGTTCCTGGGCACTGTAGGTACGAAGAGATATGGTTAGAACCCTCAATGTCACTGCTGCTTCCAGTGCAGAAGATGGTGACTGTTTACCCCAAGTCCCAGACACTGAGGAAGGCTGAGTCAAGGCTGAGCCCAGGCCCCTGAGAAGAGAAAGAAATGCAGAGGGGGATTAACTCAGAGCATGACCCCAGGTAAACTCTACTGGTTCTCTCCACCTGGAGAGAGGAAGAGTCAACCCAGGTGCCCAGGTGCTCTTCCTTGAGGACTCTTGCCTGTGCCGTGAGGGAGAATGGTTTCAAGCAGCAGAAGTCAGACCATGGTGGAGATGCCCCAGAGCTGCCTTCTGAGACCCCAGCACTGGGACAGGACACTTAAGGCTCTGTTAGCCCTTTCCATGTCCTGAGATGCAAGAGGATCCTCCCTGAAAATCTGCCTCCTGAGCACTGACAATTCTTAGCTCTTCCGTTGCTCCAAGCCCTGGAGGCCTATACCCAGGGGAGTGTGCAGATGCTCTGGCCCAAGCTGGAAGCGTGTGAAGCGCATAAATCCTCTTCCAAAGTTGCTTTGAGGCTGGATTGGCAGAACAGAGATGCCAAGCACAATCCATCAGTGAGCACCTGGATTTCTAGTGTGTTCACTGACCCAAACACCTCATCTTCCCTTCCTCTCACATACCTGGGGAGGATCCTCCTGCCCTCTGTACACCCAGGAGGCCTGAATCTGGGGTGGAATCATGCTGCTCCCTACCTGAAGGCTCCTGCCTTTCCCTCTGAGCTCATTCACAGCTAGCCCCAAAAGAATTTTTTTTTAAGACAGAGTCTCACTCTGTTGCCCAGACTGGAGTGCAGTGGTGCAATCTTGGCTCACTGCAATCTCTGCCTCCCAGGTTCAAGCGATTCTCTTGCCTCAGCCTCCCGGGTAGCTGGGACTACAGGTGTGCACCACCATGCCAGGCTAAGTTTTGTATTTTTAGTAGAGATGGGGTTTCACTATGTTGCCCAGGCTGGTCTCGAACTTCTGACCTCAGGTGATCTGCCTGCCTCAGCCTCCCAAAGTGCTGAAATTACAGGCATGAGCCACCGCGCCTGGCCTCCAAAAGAATTTTCCAAAATGGTGATTCTCCCATTAAGACAAACGGTCATGGGAACGTAGGCAAGCCACTCTGAATTCTCTCCAAGACCTTCCACTGTGGCCTGTTGCGCATCTGCAGAATCCTGCAGCAGATTGGGAATCAGGGGCCATTTCAAACACGTGTTATTAAGTCAGGAGCCCAGTATGCACTAAGTGTCGTGGGAGCACAGCCAGCCAGTGTGACCCCACGCTGGGGGCAAGGAGCCTTGCACCAGGACTACACAGCCTGAGTTCCTTCTTGACTTGACCACTTTGTCTTGGACCTGTGGTTTGCCTTTTCTTACTGTCAGTGTCTTCACCTAAAAAAACACGAAAACAGCAGTAAAGTTCACAAACTCCTTGCATTCACCTGCTTAGAAAATCGAAAGGCAAATTGTTTCCATTAATCAGCGAGGTCTCTATGATTTTTATTCCCAGAATGGTTAGGTTGAGAGTGCTGGTCCCTTCAACTCCAGGTTTATTTTAGGTGGTCATAGAAAAATACATACTTTTCTCTCTCAGTTCTCTATCTCATCCGTGCAAAGGTTAGTCCCGACTCAGCCTCTCTCACTTCCAGGAGCAGAGCAGAACAGACTGTCAAATGCGTCCCCGTCCCTTGCTTCCCTCATTGCAGTCTTAAAGTATCTCTTGTCATCACTCTAATTCAGCACAGGTTGACTCTCACTTTCCAAAATGAAGATACCTCTATTTTCATTGCCGATCAAGGAAAAAAAAATCATATGTTTATGAACTGAGTGTTTGCGTCCCCCCACCACAAATTCATATGTTGAAGCCCTAATCCCCATTGTGGCTGTATATGGAGATGGGGCCTCTAAGGAAGTAATTAAGATTAAGTGAAGTCACAAGGGTCGGGTTCTCATAACTTTCAGCATCCTTATAAGAAGAAGCACCCATGCTCTCTCTCCACACATGCGCACAAAGGGGTCACGTGAGCACAACGCAAAATGGCCTCAGCCTATAAGCTAAGAGAAGATGCCTCAGAATGACACCCACCTTGCTGACACCTTGATCTTGGACTTCCCAGCCTCCAGAACTGTGAGAAATAAATTTTTGTTGTTTAATCCATCCAGTCTGTGATATTTTGTTATGGCAGCTGAAGCAGTCTAATAAATGATAAAAAAAAAAAGTTCAAGAGAATACAGAAAAGTATTTTATAACAAACAGTGTTATCATTTTAGTGACCATTTTCTGTACATGTTAGCCCACTTATCTAAGACATTCACAAATATGAATTACTGATATCCCAGGAACCTTGTAACTCCTACTCCCCATTTCAGGCCTAGCAGAGCCCCAGGAATATGGCATCCGATTGTAAAGAACTCGAAGCAATGAATGAGTGACTGTTATGGTCATACACAATTTTACATGAATAGAATTACATTAGACAATCATTCACGTGATCTGCATTTTTTTTTCAAATATTGCAGACAGACATCATCAGTCATAAAAAAGAAGGGAATCTTGCCATTTGCAACAATACGAATGAACCTGGAGGAAATTATGTTAAGTGAAATAAGCCAGATGCAGAAAGACAAATACTGTACGAGCTAATAATATGTGGAATCTAAAAAGTGGAACTCTTTTGACATGGTTTGGTAATATAACAAATACAAAAAAAATTAAAGGAAAGGGAAAAAAGAAACACAAAAAGTGGAACTCATAGAGGCAGAGTAGAATGGTAGTTCCCAGGGGCTGTGGGTGGGAGGAATGAGAGATGTTGGTCAAAGGCTACAAAATTTTAGTTATAAGATGGTAAATCCTGAGACTCTAATATACAGCATAGTAACTATAGTTAATAATGCTATATTATTAATTGAAATTTGCTAACAGAGCACACACACATTGACTGCTGGGGTGAAAGATGTGTTAACTAATTTGATTAATCATCAAACAAGGTATATGTGGATCAATGTATATGAATTGTACACCTTGAATCCATACAATTTTTATTTGTCAATTATACCTCAAGAAACCTGGAAAAAAATCAAACATTACAGACATCTTATTGTATTTTCTGTGTCTTATCCAAAAAAAGCACCCGGAGCTCAGCAAAGCACTTGATGTTTGCCCTCACACTGTTCCTCTCCCATTCCAGTTGTCGACCAAAAGGAACCATCAGACAAAAAACACCTCCAAATTTGTTGAATTTATTCAGGAATTAGAATACAAAATTATACGCTGGGCATGGTGGCTCATGCCTGTAATCCCAGCACTTTGGGAAGTCGAGTTGGGAGCAACACTTGAGGCCTGGAGTTCAAGCCCAGCCTGGGAAACACAGTGAGACTCTCTCTACCAAAAAAAAAAAATTTTTAATAAAGTAAATACATAAATTAGCTGGGCATGGTGGTGCATGCCTGTTGTCTTAGCTACTCAGGAGGCTGAGGTGGGAGGACTGCTTGAGCCCGAGAGTTGGAGGCAGTGGTGAACTACGATTATGCACTACACTCCAGCCTGGGTGACAAAGCAAGACCCTGTCTCAAAAAATAAATAAATATAAAAATAAATATAAATTTACAAAAAAAAATTAAAAAAGAGAAAAAGCATTATAACCTAAGATGCTCAGCTATGGCAAGCCATATATGCATCTCAAGAGGGGAGGGCAAAGGGAAGGTTGTATTGGCAAAAAAAGAGATTTAAATAAGCTGCTTGCAAACAGTTCACCGGTTATGAAGACTCAAAACCACAGTTGGCATCAGTTCATTGGTGGAGACGCTGTGCCTAGGCAGGTGTTCTTTCAAAAGCATCTTATCTAAATTGTTGTGATTCCAAAACAGGAATGTCTTGCAGGGCTATTTCGAAAAGTCCCGAGACAGCCAACCCTTTTTAAAAATATAGATGGGGTCTTGCTATATCACTCAGGCTAGTCTTCAATTCCTGGCCTCAGGGGATCCTCCAACCTTGGCCTCCCAAAGTGCTGGGATTACAGGGGTGAGCCACCACACCCAGCTTCCTGAGACAGCTTTTATCTCAGCCATGTAAGCATGAGCCCTTCCCTTTCATACCCTCAGGGTTTTACTTTGGGTCAACAAATAGTGAGTTTATTTTGGTATGTGCAACTTTCAAACACCCATCGCCATAAAAGAAAGGACCAGCCTTGGCCAGGCACAGTGGCTGATGCCTGCAATCCCAGCACTTTGGGAGGCCGAGGTGGGCGGATCATGAGGTCAGGAGATCAAGACCATCCTGGCTAACACGGTGAAACCCTGTCTCTATTAAAAACAAAAAAATTAGCCAGGCATGGTAGCGGGCACCTGTAGTCCCAGCTACTTGGGAGGCTGAGGCGAGAGAATGGCATGAACCCGGGAGGCGGAGCTTGCAGTGAGCCGAGATCGCGCCACTGCACTCCAGCCTGGGCAAGAGCGAGACTCCGTCTCAAAAAAAAAAATAAATAAATAAAGGACCAGCCTCGACTGACAGTCGGCACTCCGCAGGCATCCTCCACAATCCTCTCTCCTCTCTGCCTCTTGCCCTACAACCTGGCCATGCCATGATTCCTCCCTACCTGTCCTCCTCTGTGGACTTCATGACCACGCTCTGTCCTATGAGGCTGGACCAGGGTCATGTTCACTCACTTCTCTCCCCTCCCTGCCATTTGTTCCACTCCCCAACTTGTTCTCCACGCATCGATCTCAATGGAGCAACAGCAATCAGATGATGAAAATAAATAATGGTGGCCAGTCTTCAAATGGATCCCCTTTTCAATCCCGCACTATCCATCTGCTGCCTTCTCATCAGCCCTCTGCCCCAGTTTCTTTCCCTTCTCAAACTGGACAAGCACCGTACTCCGTGAAGATGTGTGCAGCCTGTTCCCATGCCCTGAACACCATCCCTTCAAGCTCCTCTGGCTGCTCCCTGCTCAGGTCTCAGAAAAGGAGAGCTGGGCAACCCTCCCAGGGAGCCGCCCGCCTGTGTAACTTTCAGTACCAGCCTGTTTGCTTTCTTGAGATAATTAGCTACAACGGCCACTTTAAAACAATGGTCTTCTTATTTTGTTTTTTGTTTTCACCCTAAACTTTATAAAGTCAGAAATCGTAAGTCCTTGAGCATCCACAGCCACTCAAGGACGAACCTTTGCTGAATGCCTCAAGCAGAGAGGGGGAGGCTGAGTCTCTGTTTCGAAGGTGAAAACACAACGGTTTTTATCAGCCCTGTTTTATGCGACAATCCCAGGTCGAATCTGGATCAATGCAATGACTTCCTTTGCATGGACCTATGTTTTGTTCGTGCATTCATCTGTGCAGCTGGGAACCCGCAGCTCTGTTCACTGGCATGGGGATGCCTCGGGGAATGGCAGGGCAGAGCCACAAAAAGCCAGCCTCACCACGCGGCCTGTTGCTCTTAGCCACCATGCCCATCATAGCCTGTGGCAGGAGATGTTGGGGTCCCCCCCCCCGACCCCTTTCAGGAAAACAGAGTTTGTGGAGGCGGAGTACTTCCCAGGCCTGACTGATAAAACAATTCAAAAGACTCAAAGAGATTCCTCGCCTGTCCCGTCCCTTGAAGGGCCTTGAACACGGGGTCCTTCCGCTTGGCTCCTAGCCCGTCCCTCTCCCCTTACCAGGAAAGGATCCTCCCCATCTCTGCAGAAGCCTGACCATCCCCCTAGAGGGCCTGGGAGGAAGTGGGTTTTGCATACAGTCCCTGTTGACTCTAGTGCCCCCTGCTGGCCCCAGACGCGAGTTCCGGCGAGGCTTCAGGGTACAGCTCCCCCGCAGCCAGAAGCCGGGCCTGCAGCGCCTCAGCACCGCTCCGGGACACCCCACCCGCTTCCCAGGCGTGACCTGTCAACAGGTCTGTATTGGCGACAAAAGGAGCAGCCCTGAATGTAGGGAAAGCAGGGCGGAGTCCTCTGCAGGCTCGGGGGAGGGGAGGGGCGTGAATGCGTGGATTTCTGTGGAGAGTGGAAACACGGGGAGTCGAGGGGAGCATGCGCGGGCCTCAGAAAGTTCTGGGAAACCGACTCCCGGGAGCAGGGAGGAACGCGCGCTCCAGAGAGTAAGTTAATTGAATCCCGGGGGGTGGTCTCTTCAGCCCGGGGGGTTACAGAAGTAGGTAAATCCAGAGATTACCCAGCCAAGGCCAGGGGCATCTTTTCTAGACTTGCGGGGCGGGGTGGGGCGAGAACTTGAGCTCAGGGGACCCTGGAACCGGCCCCTGCACCCCGCATCCCACTGAAGAAAAGGGAGGTCGCCAGAAGCACAGACCCAGGACAGAGTCCAGACTTGGACGTCTCCGTGATCCCAGAACACCCCGTCCCACACTCCCAGTCAGCCCCCCGCCTCCCCACTGCCTCTCCATTCGCCCACCGCACCCCCTTTTTCCACCCTGCCCCCACCCTACTGTCTGGTGGGAAAGGCCGCAGCCATCACGTATTCACCCATCCCCACCCCTCACCCCCCACCTTCTGACTTTCTTTCCACATCCCCACCCCCTCCCCCACTCTCTGCCTCTTTTCCCTCCCCCTCCCCAACCCTTTGTTTTTCTTACACATCCCCACCCCTCCCCCAACCTCTGTCTTCTCTCATCCCCACCCCCACCCTGTTTCCCTTCCCCCATTCCCGCCCTGGCCCGCCTTCTGTCTCCCTTCCCCCATCCCCACCCCTCCCCCCCTTCTGTCTCCCTTCCCCCATCCCCACCCCTCCCCCGCCTTGTCTACCTTCCGCCATCCTCACCCCTCCCCCACCCTGTCTCCCTTCCCCCACCCCACCCCTCCCCCACCCTCTGTCTCCGTTCCTAATCCCCACGCCTCCACCACTCTTTGTTTCCCTTCCCCCATCCCGACCCCCCACCCCACCCTGTGTTCCTTCCTCCATCCCCCCCCACTGTCTTTCTTCTCGGTTCCCCACCCTGTCTCCCTTCCCGCATGCCCACCCCTCCCCCACCCTGTCTCCCTTCCCCCATGCCCACCCCTCCCCCACCCTGTCTCCCTTTCCCCATGCCCACCCCTCCCCCACCCTGTCTTCCTTCCCCCATGCCCACCCCTCCCCCACCCTGTCTTCCTTCCCCCATTCCTAACCCTCCTCCCGCCCCCCCTTCCCCACCCCCATCTCCCCTCCTTCCCCACCCCCATCTCCTCCCCACCCCCAGCCTCCTCTGCTCTCCAACTTCCTCTCCCCTTTTCCCCTCCTCCTGCTCCCTTCTCCTCTGCTCCTCCCCCCACTGCCCCTCCCCCACTGCCCCTCCTCCTCCCAGTCTTTGAAAACAAGCCCCTCTCGACTCTCTGGGCGACCTCACTGGATCTCGTGAGATTTTGCCCTGGAAGGACTGAGAAACGGGGATTGGTCAGACCAGGCTGCCCAGCCCCCCGGTCCCCACCGCCGCCCCCCCCGCCCCACGCAGCGGCTAGGGCGCTTAGCTGAGCCATTGTCTCGTTCTTTCCTTCCAGCAACTTCGCGGTGTGGTGAACTCTCTGAGGAAAAACGTAAGTTCGAGCCCTGATTCCTCCGCTTCCCCGCAGGGTGACCTTGGGCTTGTGCCCCCAGCACCACCCCTGTCCCGGGTCCCTGTTTTCTCTCTGGAAATGGGTTGAAGACCAAAGAAAATAATGTGCGCCACTTGGGTCACCCCGGGCCGCCTGCCCCGGAAAATTGGCCCCAGTTGAGGAGTTGTGGCTGTAAGGATGCCTTGAACCGAGGCGGCGGTGCTCGTGGTTGGAGCTCTCCAGGGTGGGTGCGCATTTGTAATGCGGTGGATGCTCTGGGACTCGGCCCCTCTGAAGGTGCTGGGGGTTGGGGACGGCCCAGGCAGTGGCGTAGGCGTCCTAGGAAGGCGGGAGCAGAGGCAGAAATGTCGCTGCAAGACCGTAGTCAGGGTCCTTGACCACAGGGGTCACTTGTGACCAACCACATGGTCTGTTGTTCCTCCTGCCCCCTGGTTCAGCCCAGGAAACACTGGTGCTCAGGTTTGGAGCCAGAGATTTGCACTGAAAGGGCGGGATTGAGTCGCCAGTTGTCAGTTTCCTCAGCAGTATTTGCGGAGGTTTTCACAGGAGGCCGTTGCTTCGTAAATATTATACATGTATTCTTCTTTTTGGAGCATTTTGATTATTACTCTCAGACGTGCGTGGCAACAAGTGACTGAGACCTAGAAATCCAAGCGTTGGAGGTCCTGAGGCCAGCCTAAGTCGCTTCAAAATGGAACGAAGGCGTTTGTGGGTAAGAAGGTCCCCTGAGCTGTCTGAGGTGCTCAGAGAAGCCCTGTTCCCCTCTGTCCTTGTCACTCGAGCCAGATGGGAGCTGCATCCTGAGGTCCCTCACAGTAGACGAAGAGGCAGGAGCCGCTTTTATTGTTTCTGGTCATTTCCACAAAAGAGCATTTCACTTCCCGTGCTGTCTTTGTATGAGAGTCAACCCTAGGGTCGGGCACGGTGGCTCATGCCTGTAATCCCAGCACTTTGGGAGGCTGAGGCGGGCGGATCACCAGGTCAGGAGATTGAGACCATTCCTGGCTAACACTGTGAAACCCCGCGTCTACTAAAAGTACAGAAAGTTAGCCGGGCGTGGTGGCATGCACCTGTAGTCCCAGCTACTCAAGTGGCTGAGGCAGGAGAATCGCTTGAACCCAGGAGGCGAAGGTTGCAGTAAGCCAAGATCATGCCACTGCACTCCAGCCTGGCGACAGAGCGAGACTCCGTCTCCAAAAATAAAAATTAACCCTAGGCCAGGCATGGTGGCTCATGCATGTAATCCCAATCCCAGTACCATGGGAGGCCGAGGTGGGCAGATCACCTGAGGTCAGGAGTTCGAGACTAGCCTGGCCAAAATGGTGAAATCCTGTCTTTACTAAAAATAGAAAAAAAATTAGCTGGGCGTGGTGGCCCACATCTGTAGTCCCAGCTACTTGGGAGGCTGAGACAGGAGCAGGAGAATCGCTTGAACCCAGGAGGTGGAGGTTGCAGTGAGCCAAGATGGTGCCAGTGCACTCTAGCCTGGGCAACAAGAGTGAAACTCCTCCTCCAAAAAAAAAAAAAAAATCTTAATGCATTGTGGACCTTATTGCCAAAGCCACGATTACATTCAGAACCTTTCCCCGGGGTAATCAGACGCAAAAGCCCACACTTCCAGTGGTGTCAGAGAGTATGAGCTCCAGGAGGCTTTGATCTCACTGCCCCATGGGCTTGGGCCATTAGGGGTAAGTGTCGGTCCTGGGAAGTGAGCAACAAGATTGCACTGCCTCATCCTTGGGTGCCACCTGGGGAGATCAGGGAGAACATGCAACCTGGGTTGAAGCCGGGAGACTTGTGCTGGAACTAAAGGCTCAAGGACGGCACAGTGCGTTGGACTGTGGGACCGTGCTCGGGTGCTGTTGGTATCCACAAGCCTGTAATCCCAGCACTTTGGGAGGCTGAAATGGGTGGATCACTTGAGCCCAGGAGTTCAAGACCAGTCTGGGAAACATAGTAAGACCCTGTCTCTAAAAAAGAAAAAGAGGCTGGGCATGGTGGCTCACTCTTGTAATCTCAACACTTTGGGAGGCCTAGACAGGCAGATCACTTGAGGTCAGGAGTTTGAGACCAGCCTGGCCAACATGGTGAAACCCCATCTCTACTAAAAATACAAAAATATAGCCGTGTGTGGGGGCGTGTGCTTGTAATCCTAGCTACTTGGGAGGCTGAGGCAGGAGAATCGTTTGAACCCAGGAGGCAGAGGTTGCAGTGAGCCAAGATTGCGCCACTGCACTCCAAAAAAAACACCTGAAGGACCTGGTGCAGATACTTCGGGGGTCCCCACTGGGATTCTATGACTAGAGAGGAGGGTGCAGACCACCCACCTGATGAGCTCAGAGGCCACTCTGGCCTGTGCAGCCCACAAGGACCATAAGAACCAGTAGACAGGACATGCAGAAATATCTCCCCAATTCATGTCTGGACCCTAGGAGTCATGCTGGGCCCCAGTCTTTTCACTTCTCCCTTATACTGGGAGGAAGGACAGCACCTTTGTGCAAATGTGCCCCTGGTGCTGCTTCCTCCAGTGCCACTGGACAAACTGGCAGTGTGAAGCTGGACAGAGGAGTGTCACTGCCTCACAGGGAGATTGCACAGCTCAGAGATTACACAACTCACACTTGATCGCGGTTCCTCCTCCTCCCTTGGATCTCCTGGAAGCGGGGATCCCATGGAAGCTTCCCTAACTGTTGGACTTACTCAGTTTTCCTGTTTTTCCATGGTTTATGTGAAGCTTATCAGCCCTTTCTAACACTTAGATTGTTTGATAGGGAGGGAAATGAAACTCTTTCTAAACTCCTCACATAAGGGCTACCAATTCCTGCTTGCTTGGAGCTGAGCAGGTTCTTCCCCAGACAGAGTCAGGGACTTACAAGACTAAAAATGAAAATGACAGTGAACTTTAGATTCTCTGTGAAGGCTATTTGAGGTAATGAATGAGAGCTGCTGCGGCCTTTGCTGTGCCCAGTAGCTGCTTGATAATTAGGGACATTGACAATGACCTTTATTACTAATCTCAGTCTCCCGCAGCTGATGAGTGAAGATGATTGCCTGGGAATTAAAGGAAATGTAGAACAAATTGTAGTTTAACCCGGTTTTCACAAAGGCCATTAGGTGTTGAGGGTGAAAAGTAGGAGAAAGTCTCCAGAGAGAGAACCAAAATGGAAAACATCCTTCAACGAATTACAGCCTCCTTACGCAGGCCACAGTAAACAAAGTCAGGCCGCAAGACATTCCAGCTGGACACTTGCCAGTAGAATATAAGAATTGTAGGGACTTCACAGTGCATGAGGCAGAGAATGGCCTGGAGAATTCTTTGGGTGGAGAGGTTCCAAAACTTCAAAAGCACCAGTGGGTGATCAGGCCCAGGATAGGAATCATCCCTAAGCAGATCCTTAAATGCCAAATATAACTTCAATTTTTTGTGACGGAAAATGTATTTGTGCACTGTGCCTAGCATGGAAATAGAGAAAAACTGAGTCTAATTGATAGGCCTGATTGCATCTCGCTGACCAGAATCTCTGTACCTGAGCAGCTTAGGGGCAAGAAAGAACAGCTGTTTTCTTGAAGTGTGGAAACATTAGTAATACTTAGGAAGGGGCTGGCCATTGGAGATTATGTTTGTGGTAAAGGCCTGACCTGCTGCTTGTGAACAGCCCCAGTGTGGAAGAGGACACCTAACCATAAAGAGAAGGTCTTCTGACAACTTCTTTAATTGCAGGGATGTGTGCTTTCAGCCCTTGTTTATTTCTTTCCTGGCTCCAAGATTCCTAAGAAACCACAAGGTCTTTCAGACTTGAAAATGTTGCTGTCCTAGGTTTGGTCACCAATATTACTCTCTATCCCACCTCTCCAGCCCACATTCCTAGATTTAATCTTGTCAAGGCTGTTTGCCAAGAGGATCCTGACTTTCTGGGAGAAAACACCCTTTCCCTCTAGGGAGGGAGGAAGATTGAACTCCCTCCCTGCCTCAGTGATTACCTTGGCTTTACTGGAACTATCTTTCATCTTCCTTAGCCATTCCCCTTTTTAATTTCTCTACTCCATCCAGGCCAAAGTCTTTCAATTCCGCCCCCAAAAAAACCTATCTGTCTTTGTGGTAATCCACTCAGTCCCATTACAAATGCCCAGCCTTACTTCTGACTAACTCCTAATTGTAGTGTAATTTTGACCCACCTTCCTTCAGGACAGCCTTGACTTTCAAAGTCTGGAAGACCAGCCACCCCTCTGTTGTTCCTCCCTTTTTCCTTGGATAGGCATGTGATTTGCTGTGTTAGGGAACATGGGGTATAAGTGACAATTTGATACTTGGGGATTGTTTGGGAGTGGGAAGGGGTGATGTCATGATGCTCTTCATAAAGCTATCTTAACTGGACTATTTGGGTAATTTTGATGTGGCCAAAAATTCCCCTAACAGTTATACTCTCTGGGTGGTTTTGTTCACTTTTTCTTTCCTTTTTGTAAATAGACATCCCATTCAATCAGTTGAACCTGAAGTAAGTAAAAAACCCCATCAGGATTCACTGGCTGGAGATCCAGGAATGTAATTAGATTTGGCTCTTCCGTTGGCAGCGTGGAGTTGAAAGGGGAGGTATGCCCAGAAAGGCCTGTAATAGCTTCAGAGGGGCCAGAGGAGGGACCCAGAGGCCATGGAGTCAATGTTGTGGTCTTCCCAGAGGTCTGGGCAGATGGCTTCTGCACCACAGCTGGGTCTGGTGAGTCGGGAGCCTCAGGCTATGGCCACTGCCTCCTTCTACTGTCACCTCAGGGTCTCCACGGGCCATGAGGGCCAATGCTGCTTAGATGGTTTTCCTTTTTCTTTCCTTACAAAGGAACAGGCTTTGTTCTTGTCTCTAAATGTAGTTTTGCCTTAATCCCAAACATTTTTATTTGGTTATTGGATTGATTTCTTAATTGATACACAATAATTGTACATATTTATAGGGTACATGTGAAATTTCAGTTTATGCATATATAGTATGTAATGATCAAATTATGGTAATTAGTATAACCATTACCTGGAACATTTATTATTTATATTGAATCCCAAACATTTTGATTTCTGCCATTTTGTATATGTTAAAAATAATTTCTTAAACGGCTTTTTTTTTTTTTTTTGGAAAATAAAAGACATCTACTTTGAATTTTACTTTATTACAATTTAAATAGTATGTGGCAAGCAATTATAATTTGCATCATTTATGATTTTTTAAATCAGTGATTTACTAGTTAGGCTTTTTTTTAACTACAAGGTTAAAAAATATTCCATTTTAACTACAAGGTTAAAAAATATTCCATTTTAACTAAAAGGTTAAAAAATATTCCATAGATTTTTTTCTTTTTCTTTTCAGATGCTTTGGAATTAAAGACATTTTCTTTCTTTTTTTTCTTTTTTTTTTTTTTAATAGAGATGAGGTCTCCTTGTGTTGCCCAGGCTGGTCTTGAACTCCTGGGCTCAAACCATTCTCCCACCCTGGCCTCCCAAAATGCTGGGATTACAGACATGAGCCACTGTGCTGGAGGGTGGAGGCTTTTTCAAGATATCTAGTATACAAGATGGTAACTGTAGTTAATAATGTATTGTATACATGAAAATTGCTAAGAGTATATTTCAAGTGTTCTCACCACACATATGTGAGATCATATGTATGTTAATTAGCTTAAGGTACCTATTCTACAATGTATACATATTTCAGAGCATCATATTGTACACCATAAATATACACAATTTTTATTTCTCCATTTTAAAACTAATGTTTTGGGAGAAAAGAACCAGGCTTTGTTTTACTGTGAAGTGTTTGCTCCGCTGATTTCCATGTCAAAGTAGTAACTCTTAATATACGTAAAAGAGACGCACTTAAAATACATGTCTCAGAATGTTTTTTTTTTATTGTACTTCCAATTGCTATGTAATACTGTTGTGCTGCTTCTGTAGTTTCTCATTTAAAATTTTTTAGTGAAACATAATGGCATCCATTGTGCATTGTGTGTGTGTTCCTCATCTTTCCCATCTGGCTTATTTGTTGGAGCAGAGAAGGATGCTGTCCTGGGCTATGTGACACTCCCATTTGAATTGCCTTTGAGTGATCATCAGAAACTTTTTCCCAAAATGAGCAGGGTCAGCCCTCAGGCTCCTTAGTTCTCACTTCCCAGGGGGACTAGAATTAAATAGAGTAGTGGGTAGATACAAGATGGTGCCAGTGGCCGTCCTGTCCCCTCCTCTACACTTGATGAGATGTTCATCCTGGTGCCAGCAGAGCTGTGGCTTTGTGGCCACCGAGTGCAGAGTGGAATCGGGGTAAACTGAGAACTCCCCTGCTGTTGCTAGCACAGTGACTTTGGCCCTAAGTTGGTCCCTCAGAAGGGTGAGGAAAAGATAGAGTTGCTTATGCTTGGGCTGAAAGGGATGCCTTGTTCCCTGTATGTTTCCTCAGGGTTCCATTCAGAGCCGATACATCAGCATGAGTGTGTGGACAAGCCCACGGAGACTTGTGGAGCTGGCAGGGCAGAGCCTGCTGAAGGATGAGGCCCTGGCCATTGCCGCCCTGGAGTTGCTGCCCAGGGAGCTCTTCCCGCCACTCTTCATGGCAGCCTTTGACGGGAGACACAGCCAGACCCTGAAGGCAATGGTGCAGGCCTGGCCCTTCACCTGCCTCCCTCTGGGAGTGCTGATGAAGGGACAACATCTTCACCTGGAGACCTTCAAAGCTGTGCTTGATGGACTTGATGTGCTCCTTGCCCAGGAGGTTCGCCCCAGGTAAGGGTGACCTAGCAGCTTGGTGTGGGGCCCTGGGAACCTGAGCAGGATGCAGCTGGGGTCAGGGAGCATGGAGCGCCTAAGGCTGGGCCAGAGGCTCTGATGGTTGCCAGCAAGGAAGTTCAGGGAGGCCTTGGGGCTACTGCAGGGGTCACTCTTGGAATGGGCTTCTGGACATGGGGCACTGATTAAAATGCAGAGGTGTCTGAAGGAACATGCACCTGCTTCCTCCTGGTGGGGTGGGAATTGGGGACCAGGAAGGATCCCAGGATCCTAGTGGGAAAGGGAGCAGCTGATGCCTGAAGTACGAAGTAAAAGTGCAGATCTAAGGTGGATGTCTGTTTGGTTCTTACCTACATTATGAGACTCATGGTCTTATTTTGAGTTGATCTTAAAGCATCATCTCAGCTAATTACCTGTTTTTCCCCACAGGAGGTGGAAACTTCAAGTGCTGGATTTACGGAAGAACTCTCATCAGGACTTCTGGACTGTATGGTCTGGAAACAGGGCCAGTCTGTACTCATTTCCAGAGCCAGAAGCAGCTCAGCCCATGACAAAGAAGCGAAAAGTAGATGGTTTGAGCACAGAGGCAGAGCAGCCCTTCATTCCAGTAGAGGTGCTCGTAGACCTGTTCCTCAAGGAAGGTGCCTGTGATGAATTGTTCTCCTACCTCATTGAGAAAGTGAAGCGAAAGAAAAATGTACTACGCCTGTGCTGTAAGAAGCTGAAGATTTTTGCAATGCCCATGCAGGATATCAAGATGATCCTGAAAATGGTGCAGCTGGACTCTATTGAAGATTTGGAAGTGACTTGTACCTGGAAGCTACCCACCTTGGCGAAATTTTCTCCTTACCTGGGCCAGATGATTAATCTGCGTAGACTCCTCCTCTCCCACATCCATGCATCTTCCTACATTTCCCCGGAGAAGGAAGAGCAGTATATCGCCCAGTTCACCTCTCAGTTCCTCAGTCTGCAGTGCCTGCAGGCTCTCTATGTGGACTCTTTATTTTTCCTTAGAGGCCGCCTGGATCAGTTGCTCAGGTGAGGGATGGTGAGATTTCTCTGCAGACCAGAGCAAGCCCTTCCTTATTGCAGTAAACAATAAAGGATATCTTGTATGTGCCAGCCACCAATAATGCAAGAGTGAGCAAGTCACTACCAGTTAACACGTCTTGTTCACCACTGTCCCCAAGCATGGTATCACATAACTACTACTCATAAGGGTTAGAGGTATACATTAGGATAGATGCTATTAACAGTGACTCCTTGTTAGAAAACTCTGTAATGGGAGGTTGGGGCCTGGCAAGGGTGGCTTTAGGCATTCTTCCTTAGGAAGTGATGCCTAAGATGATCAAAAGTAAGCAAGGAGGGCATTGAAGAAGGGAAAGCCCATCAAAGGTGAGATTTGAAATTGTAAGCTGTGCGCTCACCAGCTTCTCAACATGAGCTGCTCCCTCTAAACCTGCCTCAAATTTCCTGTCTGTAAAGGGTGATTTAGAATTCCAGTTAGGGTAATAGGTGGGAAATGCAGGATTCTGGAGATGTGGGAGAAGGAACAACAGAGAAATTGCAAAAATTGATAGGTGGTTTGCTGATGATACAGTGACCTAAGGTAGCCCTGCAGCCTGGGAACCCCCTTTGGATGTTGCTGACCTTGCCCCAGTTTGTCCACTGTGAATACTCCCTAGTAGCTTCATCAGGCACAGAGATAGAGGTGACTGGGGCCCAGGCAGTGGCAGAAGGAAGCCCGAGTTGAAAGAAAGTATTTTCAGTTGTATCTTCAAATACTAAAATTCACTGATGCCTTTCCTTGCTTGAGACATCAAATCAGGCTCTCAATTCAATTCATGCTCACACCACCTAAGAGGTCTGTGTTGGACCCTGCCTCACAGATGAGCCAAGGGAGTGTTTGAGATCTTTGTTTACTTGACCCACTTACACAGCAAATGATGGAGAAAGGACTAAACCTGAACTTGTACTCCTTGAATGCTCCGTTACAGCATGGCATCCTGGCGGTTAACCATCATCAGGAAGACTTTGGGTTTTGGTGAAATGGGCCTCTCTCCAGTCTCCCCACCCCACTACCACCATTCCCCAGCACTAACTGCTTTGTCTATTTGCAGGCACGTGATGAACCCCTTGGAAACCCTCTCAATAACTAACTGCCGGCTTTCGGAAGGGGATGTGATGCATCTGTCCCAGAGTCCCAGCGTCAGTCAGCTAAGTGTCCTGAGTCTAAGTGGGGTCATGCTGACCGATGTAAGTCCCGAGCCCCTCCAAGCTCTGCTGGAGAGAGCCTCTGCCACCCTCCAGGACCTGGTCTTTGATGAGTGTGGGATCACGGATGATCAGCTCCTTGCCCTCCTGCCTTCCCTGAGCCACTGCTCCCAGCTTACGACCTTAAGCTTCTACGGGAATTCCATCTCCATATCTGCCCTGCAGAGTCTCCTGCAGCACCTCATCGGGCTGAGCAATCTGACCCACGTGCTGTATCCTGTCCCCCTGGAGAGTTATGAGGACATCCATGGTACCCTCCACCTGGAGAGGCTTGCCTATCTGCATGCCAGGCTCAGGGAGTTGCTGTGTGAGTTGGGGCGGCCCAGCATGGTCTGGCTTAGTGCCAACCCCTGTCCTCACTGTGGGGACAGAACCTTCTATGACCCGGAGCCCATCCTGTGCCCCTGTTTCATGCCTAATTAGCTGGGTGCACATATCAAATGCTTCATTCTGCATACTTGGACACTAAAGCCAGGATGTGCATGCATCTTGAAGCAACAAAGCAGCCACAGTTTCAGACAAATGTTCAGTGTGAGTGAGGAAAACATGTTCAGTGAGGAAAAAACATTCAGACAAATGTTCAGTGAGGAAAAAAAGGGGAAGTTGGGGGTAGGCAGATGTTGACTTGAGGAGTTAATGTGATCTTTGGGGAGATACATCTTATAGAGTTAGAAATAGAATCTGAATTTCTAAAGGGAGATTCTGGCTTGGGAAGTACATGTAGGAGTTAATCCCTGTGTAGACTGTTGTAAAGAAACTGTTGAAAATAAAGAGAAGCAATGTGAAGCACCTGGTGTCTTGTAGTATATGAACCTGCTTTCCCAGTTAAACCTCAGGAAATCTCTAGTTGCTGATTAAATAAGACACTGCTCATCCATGGTACTTACACCTTTAGGCTGGACAAGGTCCCAGCCCCCAGATCTCATGACACCATTCATCTCTTTGGGGCATCTGTTACCTCCTTGCTTATTTCTTTGGTGTTCAAAGGGTCAGAGCATGCAAGGTACATTCTCAGGGCCTGGAACATACTAAGGAAGGGGCCGGTAATGAACACCACTGAGTGAAGGGTTCCTCACAGGAGCCCTCACTACTAAACCCTTGAGACCCTGGACTCAGTCCTCCCTGTTTTCCAGTGGACTCATAAGCCTCCATCCCTGGCCTGTGGCTGTGCCAGTATTGGGCTTGACTGCACAAGTCAGACCTCCCGTACTGGAAGGGGATGTCCAGTACTGCACTTGAAGTGGAGCGTCTGGGCCTCACCAACCTGTCCCACCAGGTCCAACCCCTTTCTGAATTTGTGACCCATTAAAAACATCTTAATTCCTTTTGGCAAAACACTAAGATCATATTTACTTAGTATTTGTACCCACATTAAAAATAGGATGACATCTTGGGTCCTATCAGTGAGAAAATTACTTCTGTGACATAAGAGTCCCCCCATCAATGAGGTGGTAAACTGAATCTCAGCCAGTGAGATGCCTTGGATTTGGGGTCCCAAGAGTGAACAAACTCATGGCAAGTGCTAGGGAGCACTTCAGGGGAAGTAGATGAATGAATGTCAGATTTGGGAGTTGGGGGTAGGTGGAGGCCACCTTATAGAACAATCTATCCAAAAGGATGAGAGATGTCATACTGTGCAGGTGAACTCTGCAATCCCTGGGCAGTCAGCCTACTTAGCTGCCACCGCTCCTATGCTAGTGTGTCCTGCCCTTAGTCTGCCTCATCTCCCTCACTGTACAGCTTCCCAAAGAAGCACCTGGGAAGAAGGTCACACACCAAGGCCCAGGGGCGGGCTCTATCTGCACGTAGCCGTGAGTGCCAGCACACCCAGTCCTGCCTGTTCTGAGGCCTCTGTCCTGGTGATAACCACCCATGAGGCTGCTGGCATTGCAGACTGTCAGCAATTTCCTGTCTTGCAACACACAGCAGCTGGGCCCTTCAACCTTTTTTCTTCTGTTCCCATCTTCAAGCCTCCTACCGTAAGCTCTATAAGAAATAGAAATTGGCTGGGTGCAGTGGCTCACGCCTGTAATCCCAGCACTTTGGGACGCCGAGGCAGGCGGATCACCTGAGGTCAGGAGTTCGAGACCAGCCTGGCCAATGTGGTGAAACCCTGTCTCTACTAAAAATACAAAAATTAGCCAGGCATGGTGGCGGGTGCCTGTATTTCCAGCTACTCAGGAGACTGAGGCAGGGGAATCGCTTAAGCCCGGGAAGCAGAGGTTGCAGTGAGCCGAGATCACGCCACTGTACTCCAGCCTGGGTGACAGAGCAAGACTCCGTCTCAATAAAAAAAAAAAAAAAAGAAAAATAGGCCCATCAGCTTGTGGGCACATTTTGCCATTTTTTAAAAGCTCTCCCTCTTTCTCTCTCTCTCTCTTTTTAGAGATAGGGTCCCACTCTGTCACCCAGGCTGGAGTGTAGTGGCATGATCATGGCTCACTGCAGCCTCAACCTCCCAGGCTCAAGTGATCCTCCTTTCTCAGCCTCCCAAGTAGCTGGGACCACAGGCACATGCCACCATGCATGGCTATGTTTTTATTTTTTCTAGAGATGGGGGTCTTCCTATGTTGCCCAGGCTAGTCTCGAAGTCCTGGGTTCAAGGGATCTTCCCAACTCAACCTCCCAAAGTGCTGGGATTACAGGCGTAAGCCATTGTACTCCAGCCTTGGCGACAAAGTGAGACCCCACCTCAAAAAAAAAAAAAAAAAAAAGATTAATAATACGTACCGTGTAATGTCACAGTGAGGGTCACTTGGGCTAATTTTTTATGTAAAGCACATGTTAGAATGCGTAGAACATGGATGGTCCAGCACAGGATAACAGTTATTAGCTGCCTGCTGCAAGTAAAGGAAGAAAAATGCTACATCTTGCTTCTAAAGCAGGATGCCTGACAGCAGGGACATTATTTGACCTGGAGATGAATCTGGAAAACTTTTTTCAGACTTTGGAATCAAAACGTTCATAAAGTAGCTGGGCGTGGTGGCACACACCTGTAGTCCTAGCAACTTGGGAGACTGAAGCAGGAGGATCACTTAAACTCAGGAATTCAAGGCTGCAGTGAGCTATGATCACACCAATGCACTCCAGCCTCGGCAACAGAGCAAGACCCTGTCTAAAAATCAAAAGCCAGGCACAGTAGCTCACACCTGTAATCCTAGCATTCTGGGAAGCCAAGGCAAGAGGATCGCTTGAGTCCAGGAGTTCAAGACCAGGCTGGGCAGCATAGCAAGACCCCCCCCTCCATCTCTTATGAAAAAATTTTTGAATGAGCTGAGCATGTCAGTGTGCACCTATAGTCCCAGCTACTCAGGAGGCTGAGGCATGAGGATCACTTGAATCCAAGAGTTCAAGGTTGCAGTGAGTTGTGATCATGCTACTACACTCCAGCCTGGGTAACAGAGTGAGCTCCCGTCTCAAAAAAAGAAAAATAAATGGCTCATGCTTGTAATCCCAGCATTTTGGGAGGCTGAGGCAGCCGGAACACTTGAGGCCAGGAGTAAAAGGTTTATTAACTTTTTTTTTTTTTGAGACGGAGTCTCACTCTGTCACCCAGGCTGGAGTGCAGTGCTCTGATCTCGGCTCACTGCAACCTCCGCCTCCCAGGTTCAAGCGATTCTCCTGCCTCAGCCTCCCAAGTAGCTCGGATTACACGCATGGGCCACCACGCCTGGCTCATTTTTGTATTTTCTGTAGAGATGGGGGTTTCACCACATTGGCCAGGCTGGTCTCAAACTCCTGACCTCAGGTGATCTCCCTGCCTCAGCCTCCCAAAGTACTGGGATTACAGGCATGAGCCACCACACCTGGCCAGTTTATTAACATTTTGTACGGTCAGATGCAGTGGCTCATGCCTGAAATTCCCAAATTTTGGGAGGCTGAGGCTGGAGGACCACTTGAGGCTAGGAGTTTGAGACCAGCCTATACTACATAGCAAGACTCTGTCTCTACAAAAAAAAATTAAAAATTTAACCAGTGCTCACCTATAGTCCTGGCTACTCAGAAGGCTGTGGTGGGAGGATTTCTTGGGCCCAGGAGTTCAAGGCTGCAGTGAGCTGATTGTGCCACTGCACTCCAGCCTAGCTGACAGAGCAAGACCCTATCTCTTAAAAAACAAACAAACAAAACAGAAAACAAGGCCGGGCGCAGTGGCTCGTGCCTGTAATCCCAGCACTTTGGTAGGCTAAGGTGGGCGGATCACCTGAAGTCAAGAGTTTGAGAACAGCTTGGCCAACATGGCAAAACCACGTCTTCACTAAAAATACAAAAATTAGCTGGGTGTGGTGGCGGGCGCCTGTAATCCTAGCTACTGTGGAGGCTGAGACAGGAGAATCACTTGAACCCGGGAGGCAGATGTTGCAGTGAGCCGAGATTGTACCATTGCACTCCAGCCTGGGCAACAGAGCGAGACCCTGTCTCAAAAATAAAAGTCAGAAAACAGAAAACAGCTGGGTGCAGTGGCTCACGACTGTAATCCCAACACTTTGGGAGGGCAAGGTAGGTAAATTGCCTGAGCTCAGGAGTTCAAGACCAGCCTGGGCAACATGGCGAAACCCAGTCTCTACCAAAAATCCAAAAAATTAGCCAGGTGTGGTGTTGTGTGCCTGTGGTCCCAGCTACTCAGGAGGCTGAGACAGGAGACTCTCTTGAACCTGGGAGGCAGAGGTTGCAGTGAGCGTAGATCACGCCATTGAATTCCAGCGTGGGTGACAGAGCAACTCCGTCTCAAAAAAAAAAAAAAAATAGATTATAGCAAGGGTGGACCATGTTGTTGTATGATTATGATCCTCCATAGACTGACTCCCCGACATGAGGTTACCTCATATCCATTTCATTTCCTGAGAACTTCCTATGGGAACTTCTGGAAATACAATTCGTGCAGCAGAGCCTAGGGAATCAGAAGAGAGCCTGATATTATACCTTCTTTAATTTGCTTTTGCTGCTATAACAAAATACTTGAGACTGGGTAATTTACAAAGAACAGAAACATCTCAGCTGGGAGCGGTGGCTCGTGCCTGCAATTCCAGTGCTTTGGGAGGCCGAGGTGGGCAGATCGCCTGAGGTCAGGAGTTTGAGACCAGCCTGGCCAACATGGTGAGGCCCCACCTCTGCTAAAAGTACAAAAATTGGCCAGGCGTGGTGGCACGTGCCTGTAATCCCAGCTACTCAGGAGGCTGAGGCAGGAGAGTCCCTTGAACCTGGGAGGCGGAGGTTGCAGTGAGCCAAGATCACACCATTGCACTCCAGCCTGGGCAACAAGAGCGAGACTTCGTCTCGGAAAAAACAACAACAAAACAGAAACATTTCTTACAGTTCTAGAGGCTAGGAAGTTCAATATCAAGGCACCAACAGATTCAGATTTGGTGAGGGCTGCTCTCTGCTTCCAAAATGGAGACTTGCTGCTTTGTCCTCACATGGCAGAAGGGTGGAAGGGCAAAAAGGATGAGTGCTGTGTGGAACCTCATTTGTGTTTGTTTGTTTGTTTGTTTTCCGCTCTCAGCATAGTGGAAATGGAATCTTTTTGATAAGGACATTAATTCATTCATCATAAGGGTAGGCCTCTAATAGCCTAGTCATCTCGTAAAAGCCCCACCTCTTAATACTATCACATTGGGTCATAAGTTCCAACATGAACTTTGGAGGGATACGTTCAGACCATAGCACTCCCCTATTCCAGAACTTTTAATGTAAAATAACAGATACCATTTCTACTCTCTCTCTCTGCCTCTCTCTCTTTGCAGTGGGGTCTTGCCCAGTCACCCAGGCTGGAGTGCAGTGGAACCATCGCAGCTCACTGCAGCCTCAAGCTCCCAGTCTCAAGCAATGCTCCTCCTGCCCTAGCCTCCACGGTAGCTAGGACAACGGCATGCACCCCTATGCCTGGCTAATATCATTTCTTGAGCATAAACTCATTTAATCCCAAGAGTACATCTGTTAAGTACAAGTATATGAAGGCTCTATCAGATAATTTTGGCCATTCAGATTGAATATACCCTTGCGATGGTTAATTTTAGGTGTCATCTTGACTGGATTAAAGAATACCTAAAAACCTGGTAAAGTACTATCTTTGGGTGTGTCTGTGTTTCCAGAAGAGATTAACGCATGAGTGTGAGTGGACTAGGTGGGGAAGATCTGCCCTCCATGTAGGTGGGTGCCATCCAAAGGCCAGTACTGAAAATAACAAAAACAGAGGAAAGGTGAATGTGTTGATCTACCTTTTGGAGCTGAGATACACTCTTCCTCTCCTGTACTTAGATGTCACAACTCAAGGCTCTCTGGTCTTTGGACTCCACAACTTGCACTAGCAGTGCACCCTCACTCCCTAGCTTCTCAGGCCTTCAGCACTGGACTGAGAATTACACCGCTAGTTCTGAGGCTTTTGGACTCAGAGTGAGCCATGCTGTCAGCATCCCAGGATCTCCAGCTTGCAGATGGCCTGCTGTGGAACTTCTTAGCCTTCATAATTGCATGAGACAGTTCCCCTAACAAATCCCCTCACATACTCACATATCTATCTATCAATCTATCTTTCTTTTTTTTTTTTTTTTGAGACGGAGTCTCGCTCTGTCGCAGGCTGGAGTGCAGTGGCGTGATCTCGGCTCACTGCAAGCTCTGCCTCCCGGGTTCACGCCATTCTCCTGCCTCAGCCTCCCGAGTAGCTGGGACTACAGGTGCCTGCCACCACGTCTGGTTAGTTTTTTGTATTTTTAGTAGAGATGGGGTTTCACCACATTAGCCAGGATGGTCTGGATCTCCTGACCTCGTGATCTGCCTGCCTTGGCCTCCCAAAGTGGTGGGATTACACGTGTGAGCCACCGCGCCCGGCCCTATCAATCTATCTTTCTATCTATCTATCCATCTATCTATTCATCCATTCTATTGGTTCTGTCTTTCTGGAGAACCCTAATATACTCCTCCAGAAAATTATTATACTTAGACTAAGTGCTCACTCAGATACCAAGGCAACAAGTATTATAGCACCACCCAGAATCTCAAATACTGAGTGTCCCACTTGGATGACAGTGATCCTGACTGGACAATAATGGTTTACCATCCATTCTTTAGCTGTATTCAGTATTAGAAAATATTTTCTTGACTGGGTGCAGTGGCTGGTGCCTATAATCCCAACACTTTGGGAGGCTGGGGCAGGAGGATTGCTTAAGCCCAGGAGTTTGATTCCAGCCTGGGCAACATAGCAAGACCCCATCTCTACTAAAAATACAATAAAATAATTAGCCTGGAGTGGCTGGATTCGGTGGCTCACGCCTGTAATCCCAGCACTTTGGGAGGCTGAGGCGGGTGGATCACGAGGTCAGGAGACTGAGACCATCCTGGCTAACATGGTGAAACCCCATCTCTATTAAAAAAATACAAAAAAATACTAAAAAAATACGAAAAATTAGCCAGGTGTGGTGGTGGGCGTCTATAGTCCCAGCTACTTGGGAGGCTGAGGCAGGAGAATAGCGTGAACACGGGAGACGGAGCTTGCAGTGAGCAGAGATGGCGCCACTGCACTCCAGGCTGGGCAACAGAGCGAGACTCCGTCTCAAAAATAATAATAATAATAATTAACCTGGAGTGGTAGCACATGCCTATAGTCCCAGCTACTCAGGAGGCTGAGGTGGGAGGATTACTTGAACCCAAGAAATGGAAGCTACAGCGAGTTATGTCATACCAGTGCACTCCAAAAACTGCAGCCTGAGCTACAGAGCAAGATCCTGTCTCAAAAAAACTACTTTTCTTATTCATTGTGACATGAAGATTTTGTATAGAATATACTCAATATTTCAACATTGATTTCATTCTCTGAGAATGAAAAAAATCAAGCATTTGAAGCAGCCAGACGCCTGTTGATCGAGCCAGATGCACATTCAGCCTTCTTAATAGAACCTGGCTTATTTTGATAAAAGAGATGTTTAGACCTTCAAATGAGAAATTAGGGCAGTTTCTCCAGTTGAATGCTCCACATGTGATGCTGGCAATGATGTGTTATGGGCTGATTTGTGTCCTCCCAAAATTCATTTGTTGTAATTCTATCCCCCAGTAACCTCAGAATGTGACTTTATTTCCAGATAGGGCTTTTAAAGAAGCAGTTAAGATTAAAATGAAGTCATATGAAAGAGCCCTAATCCAAAATGACTGGTGTCCTTATAAGAAGAAAAAATTAGGACACGAACACACACAGAGGAATGATCATGTAAAGATATAGCAAGAAGGTGGCCATCTTGCAAGCCAAGGCCTCAGAAGAAACCAACCCTGCCAACACCTTGATCTTGGACTTCCAGCCTCCAGAATTGTGGGAAAATAAATTTCTGTTGGTTAAGCCACCCAATCTATGGTATTTTATTATGGTAGCTGGCAAACAAATATATGATGTTTACTGCAATCATTCAGATAATTTTGTGTATGTTCATTGCAGCACTAGTCACAGTAGCAAAGACATGGAATCAACCCAAATTTCCATCGACAGGCTGGTTAAAGAAAATGTGGTACTGACCAGGCGCAGTGACTCACGCCTGTAATCCCAACACTTTGGGAGGCCGAGGCGGGCAGATCACCTGAGGTAAGGAGATTGAGACCATCCTGGCTAATACGGTGAAACCCCGTCTCTACTAAAAACACAAAAAACTAGCCAGGCGTGGTGGTATGCGCCTGTAATCCCAGCTACTCGGGAGGCTGAGGCAGGAGAATCGCTTGAACCCGGGAGGCGGAGGTTGCAGTGAGCAGAGATCATGCCACTGTACTCCAGCTGGGCGACAGAGTGAGACTCCGTCTCAAAAAAAAAAAAAAAAAAAGAAAAGAAAAAAGAAAATCTGGTACATACACACCATGGAATACTATACATCCATAAGCTGGAAGCCATTATCCTCAGCAAACTAATGCAGGAACAGAAAACCAGACACCAGATGTTCTCACTTATAAGTGGAGAGCTTAACAATGAGAACACATGGATACAGGGAGGGGAACAACACACACTGGGGCCTTTTACGGGAGGGTAGGAGGGAGGTAGAGCGTTATGAAAAAGAGCTAATGCATATTGGGCTTAATACTTAGGTGATGAGTTGATAGCTGCAGCAAACCATCATGGCACATGTTTACTTACATAACAAACCTGCATATCCTGAACATGTACCCTGGAACTTAAAAAAATAAAGTAGAATAGAATAAAATTTTAAAAACTTGATTACATAAAAAAGAAAAAAACTCTGGTGGGCACCTTTCCCCTTGTGAGCCCAGCTTAATCCAGAGGGGAAACAAAACAGTTTAATACATAGAATTTGTTTTCTACAATGCACTGATGTGGTGGTGATAGTAACGAGTACCAAACGTAATAAGCACAACTGTATTAGCTATCTATTACTACATAACAAATTATCCCAAAACTTAGTGGCTTAACAACAATAAATCATTATTACTTCAAAGTTACTGCAGCTTAGCTGTGTGGTTCTGGCTCAGAGACTCTTATGAGGTTATACTCAAAATGTTGGCTTGGCCAACTTGGGAGGCGGATCCTCTTCCAAGATGGCTCTTTCACTTGGCTGTTGGCAGGAAGCCTCAGTTCCTTACCACATGGACCTCTCCATAGGGCCGCTTGAATGCTATGACATAAATAACAGTTGTCTGGTTTCCACCAGAGCAGGTGATTCAAGAGGGCAAGGCAAAATGTTTTTTGTGACCTGGTCTTGGAAATCACACGTCATTATTTCCCAGTATCCTGGTGGTGCCCTGCTCATTGTGACAGCACAAAATAAAAGTGTGGGGACACCATGAGGAAGGGATCATTGGGGGCACAAAATGTTTTGCATGCTTTATTTTTACAACAATCCAGGGAGGTAGTTACCATTTGCCTTTGTGCCCTAGAAATTGGCATTATATCTGGCAAATACTAAGTGCGTAAGAATTTTTGTTGTTGTTGTACAGATGGGGTCTCTTTATGTTGCACAGGCTGGTCTTGAACTCCTGGCCTCAAGGGATCCTCCTGCCTTGCCCTCCCAAAGTGCTGGGATTACTGGGACGCAGTCACTGCACTGCTGCAGCTTTGGCCCCCGGGCTCAAGCAATCCTCCCATCTCAGCCTATCAAGTAGCTGAGTCCACAGGTGTGCACCGCTATTCCCCCCTCATTTTTTATGTATTTTTTGTACAGATGGGGTCTCACTATGTTGCCCAGGCTGGCCTCAAACTCCTGGCACTGTTCTAGGAATTCTATATATTTTATTCCATTTAATCAAATCCTGAGAGAGTATGCATTTATTATTATATTCCTAGTACAGATTTTTTTAAAATGGAGGTGTTAATAAACTTGCCCAAAGTCATACAGTTAATAACATCCAGGATTTGGACCCAGGCAGAGTGAATATAGATCCTAAACTCTTTTTTTTTTTTTTTTGAGACAGAGTTTTACTCTTGTTGCCTGTTGCCCAGGCTGGAGTGCAATGGCACGATCTCGGCTCACCGCAACCTCTCCCTTGCGGGTTCAAGCGATTCTCCTGCCTCAGACTTCCCAAGTAGCTGGGATTACAGGCATGTGCCACCACACCTGGCACATTTTGTATTTTTAGTAGAGATGGGGTTTCTCCATGTTGTTCAGGCTGGTCTTGAACTCCTGACCTCAGGATCTGCCCGCCTTGGCCTCCCAAACTGCTGGGATTATAGGCGTGAGCCACCGTGCCCAGCCAATCCTAAACTCTTAATCACTCGGGTACATGTCTGAAAAAACTTTCGGTGGGCTGGGTGTGGTGGCTCACACCTACAATGCCAGCACTTTGGGAGGCTGAGGCAAGAGGATCTTTTGAGGTCAGGAGTTTGAGACCAGCCTGGGCAACATTAAAAAAAAAAAGTAGTAGCCAGTCATGGTGGCGCACACCTGTAGTAGTCCCAGCTACTTGAAAAACTAAGGTGGGAGGATCGTTTGAGCCAGGGAGTTCGAGGCAGCAGTGAGCCATGAGAGCAGCACTGCACTCCAGTCTGGGTGACAGAGTGAGACTTTATCTCAAAAAAAAATTTTTTTTCTGACAAGAGGCTAAATAAATAAATAGTAAAACAAGAATCACGTAATTAGATAACACAGTGTCTTAGTCCGTTGTCTGTTGCTTACAACAAAATATCTGAAACTGCGTAGTTTATAAAGAAAATGAATTTCTCACAGTTATGGAGGCTGGGAAGCCCAAAGTAGAGGGGGCATGCCTGGTAAAAGCCTTCTTACCTGGTTGGGGGTCTCTGCAGCATCCTGATGCCACAGAGGGCATCTCATGAAGGAGGCTGAGCATGTTGGCTCAGGTCTCTCTTCTCTTCTTATAAAGCCACCAGCTCCCCTTCCATGATAAGCCATTAACCCATCAACCCATTAATCCACGAATGGATTAATTCATTCATGAAGGCAGAGCCCTCATGATTCAATCACCTCTTAAAGGCCCCACCTTTCAATAGTCCCACATTGGAAATTAAGTTTCCCACACATGAGATTTGGAGTCTGCATTCAAACCACAGCACACAGATATGTCAGAATAGTATCCTTTGGCATTTATTGATAAGTTGCTTTGACTTTTGGGTTTGGAGCACTCAAGGCTTTGTGTTAATGAAACATCTCATGCTTGCCTTTGCAGTTTCAACCCACATCCTACTCAGAAGATAAGATGCATTACTGTTTGCTTCCGAATATTTAAACATAAAATCTTAATAATCAATCCCCTTTATAAATTTATCTCCATTCAAATTAAAATAAGTCAGTAAAATTATGTTAATAAATCACAATTTTAATACGGAGTATGTGAATAATAAACACCCATTTACATAAAAAGGTAGGGGAAGGTAAGTGTATGTAGACGCAGAGAATATATATTGAAGGACACATCAGAAATTCTACACAGCCATTTATTTTGGGAATAGAGACAGGTAACTGTGATCTGGGGCAGAAGGGAAATTTACTTTACAATTATTAGATGAATTTTGGCCGGGTGCGGTGTCTCACGCCTGTAATCACAGCACCTCGGGAGGCTGAGGCAGGGGATCACTTGAAGTCAGGAGTTCAAGACCAACCTGGCCAACATTGTGAAACCCTGTCTCTACTAAAAATACAAAAATGAGCTGGGTGTGCTGGCACGTGACTGTAGTCCCAGCTACTTGGGAGGCAGAGGTGAGAGAATTGCTTGAACCCGGGGGGTGAAGGTTGCAGTGAGCCGAGATGGCACCATTGCACTCCAGCCTGGGTGGGCAACAGAGCAAGACTTCATATAAAAAAAATTTTAAAATGGATAATTTTTTTGTGTGTTTGATTTTATTGTTAGCTCTATTTAAGGATTACTTTTAATTAAAAGGTAGTTTTTTGTTTGCTTGTTTATTGCAACCCAGAAAAAACACTTCCAAACTAAGTTTGGGGAGATGCTCCCAAAGGTAGTTTTTAAGAAACAATGGAATAACCCTGAATACATTGTAAAAATATGCTTTTAGACCACTAATCTCTCCTGAGTGTTTTAGTTTGTTTTGTTTTTATTATTATTATTAGTAGTAGTAGTAGTATTTTGAGGCTGGGTCTCACTCTGTCACCCAGGTTGGAGTGCTATGGTGCAACCTTGGCTCACTGCAACCTCTGCCTCCCAGGCTGAAGCAATCCTCCTACCTCAGCCTCCTGAGTAGTTGGGACCACAGGCACGTGCCACCACACCTGGCTAGTTTTTCTATTTTTTGTAGACATGGGATTTTTATCATGTCGCCCAGGCTGGTCTCGAACTCCTGAGCTCAGGCAATCCTCCCAAAGTGCTTGGATTGCAGGTGTGAGCCACCATGCCTGGCCTTGTTTTTTATTATTATTATTATTATTATACTTTAGGTTATGGGATACATGTGCAGAACGTGCAGGTTTGTTACATAGGTATACACGTGCCATGGTGGTTTGCTGCAGCCTTGTTTTTAAATTAATAAAAACTTGTACGAAATAAGGTATTTATTCAATAGCTGATAGTAATGCATTCCTAATCACTGAAGAGACACATGCAATTTCAGGATTTCAGTGTTAGATATAACTTGGAGTTTTTCTCCTCTACTCCGATGATTCATTACTGTTACTTGGAGTTTTTTCCTTAATCCACCTGGTAGTGACTGAGCATTTACCCAAAGCCTCAGTCTCCTCCAGCCTTGCAGTGGTAAAACTCAGCTAAATCACTTGACCCAGCAGAGTACATTTCTGTCACCGGTTCTCCAGTCTTCTTCCTTGCAGTACCCATTAAAGTTGGAGGCTGCCTCTGACCACCCCTTTTTTTTCTTGACAGAAGGAGCTAGGGATAACATGGGTCGCCATAATTTGTCATCTAAGAATGTCCTAGGCAGCCACAAAAAAGAATGAAGTCATGTCCTTCGCAGCAACATGGATAAAGCTTGAGGCCGCTATCCTAAGTGAACCAACTCAGCAACAGAAAACCAAATACTGCATGTTCTCACCTACATGTTGGAGGTAAACAACGGGTACACATGGGACTCCCGGAGGAAGAAGGAAGAGAGCACGTAGTTTCCTGAGCCCAGCCTGCTGCCTGGGAGTATCCCCATATTGACTGGTAAGAGGTGGCTCCAAGACCCCAATCCCAATTTTGGCTTTCCTAAAGTCAGAACTAGACATTCCTCTCCCTGGCTTCAGGGAGCCCACATGTCCAAGGCTCATAGTGTAGACCATCTAGAAGTGGAGAAAACTGAATAATAATAGACTCCCCTTTTTAAATTCTCCCTCTACTCACATTACTGGCTACAGGCCCAAAGCCTAACTGAAAAGTTTGTCTTCTCTCCACTCAGTCTGCAGAAAGCATCTTGTCCTTCTCCATGGAAACCACCTTGGGTAAGTAGCAATCTCGCCCCAGCAGACCTGCCCAGCATCTGTAGACCATGTTGAACTTACGCCCTCTGCTTCTTCATAACTTCACATTGTATGGTCTTTTTTTATATTAGGCCATCAGCTTTCAGACCATTCTAATATACAGTTATCATTTGTTTTTATTATTTTCTTACCTATACCAGACAGAACACAGATATTTCCCTAGCTTTTGAAACAGTGTGAAAATTGATCTCTCTCCGTCCTCAAGGTTTTGTCCCTCACAGTTTAGGAGAGAAATCAAGGGAGTTGGGGCCAGAAAGAGAATTGAGAGGGAGTCTCTACCAGCACTGGTCTCTAGGAAATACCCCAAAGTGGGAGAAAGCTGTTTCTTGGAAAATCAGGGTAGATTGGTACAATAAAAAAAAAAAAACCCTTGGACAAGTGTGGGGGCCTCATACCTATAATCCCAGTACTTTCAGAGGCAGAGACAGGAAAATCAACTGACGCCAGGAGTTTGGGAACAGCCAAGGCAAAAGAGTGAGACTCCCATCTCTGAAAAAAAAAAAAAAGAAAAAAAATTTTGCCAGGCATAGTGGCACGTTCCTATAGTCCACCTACTTGGGAGGCTGAGGTGGGAGGATTGTTTGAGCTCAGAAATCGAGGCTGCAGTGAACTGTGATCACACCATGGCACTACAGCCTAGGCAACAGAGCAATACCCCAATTCCGGAAAAAAAAAAAAAAGAAAGAAAGAAAAAGAAACCCCCACTAAGGGCATTTGTTTGTGTCCCGGAGTCACCTGGGAGTTGAGCTATCCCTGCACACCCCCTACCTATGCATGAGGTGGCTCTCATTTTGCAGAGTGTATTAGTTTGATATTGCTGCCATAACATACAGAATGGGCAGCTTAAACAACAGATGTCTATTTTCTCACCACTCTGGAGGCTGGAAGTCAGAGATCAAGGTGTTGGCAGGTTTGGTTTCTTGCAAGGCCTTCTCTCTGTTGCTTGCAACTGACCTTTCCTTTATGTGTTTGCATCCCTGGTGTCTGCCTGTGTCTCCATGTTTCCTCCTCTTATAAGGGTATTGTCAGATAGAATCAGAGCCAACCATAATGGCCTCATGACCTCTTTAAAGGCCTTATCTCCAAATATGGTTGCATTCTGAGGTACCAGGGGTTAGCATTTCAACATAGGAATTGAGGGGAGCACAATTCAGCCCATCATAGAGATTGATGGTGAGGGCTTCATTCACACCGGGTGCTTTACTTGGTGACAGCTGAGCAGGGGCCAGGGCCATCAAGAGCAGTGGTTTTCCAGCCATGCTGCTCATTAGACATCTGGGAGCTTTCATAATACATACTCCTGGGTCCCACCTCTGGAAATACCGATTTAATTTGTCTGGGTTAAGAATCAAATGAATAGCCAGGTGTGGTGGTCCACTTTTGTGGTTCCCACTACTTGGGACCCTGAGGTGGGAGGATCGCTTGAGCCCGGGAGGTTGAGGCTACAGTGAGCTGTCATTGCACCCTAGAGCCTGGCAGTAGAGCAAGAGCCTGTCTTAAAAAAACAAAACACGGCTGGGTGTGGTGGCTCACACCTGTAATCCCAGCACTTTGGGAGGCCGAGGCAGGCTGATCATGAGGTCAGGAGATTGAGACCATCCTGGCTAACACCGTGAAACCCCGTCTCTACTAAAAATACCAAAAAAAAAAAAAAATTAGCTGGGCATGGTGGCAGGTGCCTGTAGTCCCAGCTACTAGGGAGGCTGAGGCAGGAGAATATGGTGAACCCGGGAGGCGGAGCTTGCAGTCAGCCGAGATCTTGCCACTGCACTCCAGTCTGGGGGACAGAGCAAGACTCCGTCTCAAAACACACACACACACAGACACACACACACACACACACAGACACACACACACACACACACACAGTTTGGGAGGCCAAGGCAGGAGGATTGCTTGAGCCCAGGAGTTGGAGATCAGCCCGGGTAACATGGTGAAATCCCATCTCTACGAAAGATACAAAAATTAGCCGGGCGTGGTGGCATATGCCTGCAGGTCCCAGCTACTGGGGAGCCCTGGAAGATTGAGGCTGCAGTGAGCTGTGATCACGCCACTGCATGGTGATAGAGTGAGACCCTGTCTCAAAAAATAAAATATAAATAAATAAAAATAATCTGAAAACAGTGAAAGAAAAGCCTTCTCCTGTGAAGTGGGAGGTGGAAAAAAGGTACTTCCCCTCAACCCTCACCACTAGCTTTTTGTCAGGTGGAGGGCACATGGATCCATTCAGGATCTGAAAAGGGACTACTCTAAGTTTTAATCTAACTGACCTGGGGTAGGGTTGGGCAGTTTGAATCTGTAGCACGATGAGAACCACAAGCTTAAACGTCTTAGATTAGTTGACTTGCTGAACAATATACAGCCGGCCCTCCACACCTCATGAGTTCCTCATCTGAGGATTCAACCAACAGTGGATTGAAAATACTTCAAAAAATAATAATAACAATTCAACAATTAAAAATAATACAAATTTAAAAACAATACAATATGACAACTATTTACATAGCATTTACATTGTTGTAGGTATTGCCGGGCTCAGTGGCTAGCACCTGTAATCCCAGCACTTTGGGAGGCTGAGGCCAGAGGATTGCTTGAGCCTAGGAGTTCAAGACCAGCCTGGACAATACAGTGAGAACTCGTCTCTTCCAAAAAAGAGAGAGAAAAAAAAAAAAAAAGGCTAGCCGGGCATGGTGGCTTATGCTTGTAGTCCTAGATACTCAGGAGGCTGAGGTGGGAGGATCACTTGAGCTCAAGAGGTCAAGGCTGGAATGAGCCATGATCGTGCCACTGCACTCCTGCCTAGGGGACAGAGTGAGTCTCTGTCTCAAAACAACAACTATAATACATTGTCCTAAGTATTATAAGTAATCTAGGGATGATCTAAAGTATATGGGAGGGTGGCAGGGCATGGTGGCTCATGATTGTAGTCCCAGCTACTTGGGAGGTTGAGGTAGGAGAATTGCTTGAACTCGGGAGGTGGAGGTTGCAAGGAGCTGAAATTATGCCATTGCACTCCAGCCTGGATGACAGAGAGAGACTCCATCTCCAAAAATAAATAAATAAATAAATAAATAAATAAATAAATAAATAAAAATAAAGTATATGGGAGGATGTGTGTTGGTTATATGCAAATCCTAGGCCATTTTATTTATTTATTTATTTATTTTGAGATGGAGTCTCACTCTGTCGCCCAGGCTGGAGTGCAGTGGCACGATCTCAGCTCACTGCAAGCTCCGCCTCCCGGGTTCACCGTATTCTCCTGCCTTAGCCTGCCGAGTAGCTAGGACTACAGGTGCCCACCACCACATCCAGCTAATTTTTTCTGTTTTTTAGTAGAGATGGGGTTTCACTGTGTTAGCCAGGATGGTCTCGATCTCCTGACCTCGTGATCTGCCCACCTCAGCCTCCCAAAGTGCTGGGATTACAGGCGTGAGCCACGGCACCCGGCCATCCTAGGCCATTTTATATAAGAGGTTCGAGTATCCAAGGATGCTGGTATTCAATCCCCTTCAGATAGTGAGGGATGTCTATACTAAAATACTATACTAAAATATTTGGGATGAAGATGACAGTTGGGATAACTCTTAGATTAAGCTGCTGCAATCACTAGAGACACTTCCGTGGGCAGTTAGGGACCACATCATTCTGCATGTGCCCCTCGCCTTAAGTTCTGCATGTGCCACTCACCTTAAGTTCAGAAACTAGTGAAGTGTAAAATACACATCTCATTAAGCCAGATTGGGGTACAGGCAATTCACAGTTCAAATCAACACACAGATGTGCTTTATTTGGCTTCATTATGCTTTAAAACTTAAAAATATATACTTTCTGGCACTTTAAAATTGAGAGACAACATAAAAATTTAAATTTCCAGTGTTGCTTGGAAAATAGATCAGCAACACCAGCATTGCCATCAGGCAGAAATCAGATAAAATTGAGTAGTACCATTAACATCCTTGAAAGACTGTTGCATGCTTCTATTTTCCAAGGGCTCATTTCTCTTTTACCCTATGCTGCAAATGTGTTTGATGCTCGGCCCTTATAAGCATTTGACTTTAAGAATTCTGTTCCTAGTTTTTTAAAATCCAGTATAAAAAGAAAAAAAAAAAAGCTGGGCCTGTTGTCTCACCCCTATAATTGCAACACTTTGGGGGCCCAAGGCGAGTGGATCACCTGAGGTCAGGAGTTCCAGACCAGCCTGGACAACATGGCAAACCCTGTCTTTACTAAAAATACAAAAATTAGCCAGGCATGGGGGCGGGCGCCTGTAATCCCAGCTACTCGGGAGGCTGAGGCAGGAGAATCACTTGAACCCGGGAGGTGGAGTTTGCAGTGAGCTGAGATCGCACCACTGCACTCTAGCCTGCGCCACAGAGTGAGACTTCATCTCATAAAAAAAAAAAAAAAAGAAAGAAAGAAAGAAAAAAGAGAAATTAAAATACATTTTTAGGAAAAAAAAGTAAGAGTATTTTCTTTTCTTTTTTTTTTTTTTTTTGAGACGGAGTCTCACTCTGTTGCCCAGGCTAGAGTGCAGTGGTGCGATCTCAGCTCACTGCAAGCTCCGCCTCCCGGGTTCATGCCATTCTCCTGCCTCACCCTCCCAAGTAGCTGGGACTACAGGTGCCCGCCATCATGCCCGGCTAATTTTTTTTTTTTGTATTTGTAGTAGAGACAGGGTTTCACCATGTTAGCCAGGATGGTCTTGATCTCCTGACCTCGTGATCCGCCCGCCTTGGCCTTTCAAAGTGCTGGGATTACAGGCGTGAGCCACCACGCCTGGCCAGTAACAGAATATTTTCTAAACTCTTAGAAGTGTGAAAGTTGTCAGAATCAAAATGGAGCCACTAATGTTAAAACAACAACAACAACAAAGCAAAACTTGACAAACAGAGCCTGGGAAGGCCATGAAGAGAGTGTTTTCACGCTTGCATACCTGATAACAAAAACAATGACAAAAGACTCTACAGAAACAACCTTGTACAAAGGACATCGCAACCTTAAGCAAAAAATACTTCCATAAGGGCATCTGCCCAGCAACTGCCTCTCCAACCTTGGACTAGCGTCACCCTTGCTATTGATCTTTGTAGTCAAGGAAAATTATCTCAAAACAATTATGTAATCCTTCTTATCCTTCCTTTAAAAACCTTTGTCTTCCTTTACCTCCCCAAATGCACACATAGGGGCATACATATTTTCATTGCAATGCTCTATTGCCAAACACACATCATTTTCTTTTAAAGAGCTTCTCTCTGTTATTAGGTTGACGTAAGAATGTGCACGCGTTTTGGCTGGGCGTAGTGGCTCATGCCTGTAAACCCAGCACTGTGGAAGGTGGGAGGATCTATTGAGCCCAGAAGTTCAAGCCTGCAGTGAGCCATGATTATGCCACTGCACTCCAGGGTGGAAGACAGAGGAAGGCCCTCTCTCAAAAAACAAACAAACAAAATGTTAGCCTCACAAAGAACCTCTACTGGGGCAGTGTGGAGGGGAAATGTGGGGTTGGAGCTGCCACACAGAGTCCCCACTGGGGCACTACCTAGTGGAGCTGTAGTGGATCCACCCATAGCTTGCACCCTGTGCCTGGAAAAGCCTCAGGCACTCAATGCCAGCCCATGAGAGTAGTGGCAGGGGCTGAACCCCGCATAGCCACAGGGGTGGGGCTGAACCCCGCAAAGCCACAGGGATGGAGCTGCCTAGGGCCTTGGGAGCCCACCCTTTGCATCAGTGTGTCCTGGATGTGGGACATGGAGTCAAAGGAGATTATTATGGAGCTTTAAGATTTAACAACAGCCCTGCTGGGTTTCAGAATTGCATGGGGCCTGTAGCCCCTTTCTTTTAGCTGATTTCTCCCTTGGGAATGGGAATGTTTACCTAATGGTTGTATCCCCGTTGTATCTTGGAAGTAACTAACTTATTTTTTATTTTATAGGCTCATATGTGGAAGAGTCTTGCCTTGTCTTAGATAAGACTTTGAACTTTTGAGTTAATGCTGGAATAAGTTAAGACTTCGGGGGATTATTGGGAAGGCATGATTGTATTTTGACATACGAGAAGGACATGAGATTTGAGCGGGTCCGGGGCAGAATAATATAGTTTGGATGTGTTTGCCCACGGAAATCTCATATTGAAATGTAATTCCCACTGTTGGAGGTGGGGCCTGGCGAGAGGCCACTGGATCCTGGGTGTGATTTCTCATGAATGGTTTAGCACCCATCCCCCTGGGTACTATTCTCCCAATAGTGAGTGAGTTCTCAGTGATCTGGTTGTTTAAAAGTGTGTAGCACCTCCCCTCTTGCTCTGTCGTTCCTGTTTTCACCATGCGACATGACTGCTCCCCTTCACCCTCTGTCATGATTGTAAGCTGCCTGCGGCCTCCCCACAAGTAGATGCCACTATGCTTCCTGTACAGCCCACAGAACTGTAAGCCAATTAAACATCTTGATAAATTACCCAGTCTCAGGTATTTCTTTATAACAATGCAAGAATGACCTAATACATTTAGACTTAGGAGAGATTCTTGTACTTGTCTTACAATAAGAATGATGGGATTTAAAAATATAAATAGGCCAGGCACAGTGGCTCATGCCTGTAATCCAAGCACTTGGGAGGTCAAGGCAGGAGGATCACTTGAATCCAGGAATTGGTGACCAGCTTGGGCAATATAGCGAGACACCATCTGTACAAAAAATTTAATTAAAAAAAATTAAAGTGAGACACTGTGTATTTGTCTCTGTATGTCTGGCTTATTTCACTTAACATAATGCCAACTGGGTTTATCTATATTGTTGCAAATAACAGAATTTCCTTTGATTCTAAGGCTGAATAGTCACCAGGTATGGTGGCTCTTGCCTGTAAGCCTAGCAGTTTGGGAGGCTGTATTAGTCCATTTTCACACTGCTGATAAAGACATACCTGAGCCTGGGTAATTTATAAAGAAAAATAAATTTGATGGACTTGGAGTTCCACGTAGCTGGGGAGGCCTCACAATCATGGTGGAAGGCAAAAGACACATCTTATATGGCAGCAGGCAAGAGAGAATGAGAGCCAAGTGAAAGGGGGAAACCCCTTAGAAAACCATCAGATCTCATGAGACTTACTCACTATCATGAGAACAGTATGGGGGAAACCTCCCTCATGACTCAGCTATCTCCCACTGGGTCCCTCCTACAACACGTGGGAATTACGGGAGCTACAATTCAAAATGAGCTTTGGGTGGGGACACAGCCAAACCATGTCAGAGGCCGAGGCAGGAGGATCACTTGAGTATAGTATATATAAAAATATAAAATGAAGGAAGGGGCCGGGAACAAGGGCTCACACCTGTAATCCTAGCACTTTGGGTGGCCGAGATGGGCAGATCACCTGAGGTCAGGAGTTCAAGATCAGCCTGGCCAACATGGTGAAACCCCATCTCTACTAAAAATACAAAAAATTAGCCGAGCGTGGTGGTATGCACCTATAATTCCAGCTACTGGGGAGGTTGAGGCAGGAGAATCACTTGAACCTGGGTGGCAGAGGTTGCAGTGAGCCGAGACTGCGCCACTGCACTCCAGCCTAGAAGACAGAGTGAGACCCTGTCTCAAAAAATAAAAATAAAAATAAAAATAAATAAAATTAAATGAAAGAAGAATCCCTGGCATGGCACTAAATTTAAATGGAAATATGAGTACACTGTATTTTCTAGGTCTGTCTACTGAAGCAATAACAATTGAGCATACTTAGTGCCCAGATCTTCAATGTTTTTTTAAAATTTTGATTGACAGATGACAATTTGTATATATTTTATGATGTACATGATAAATATATGTGCACACATTGTGTAATGATTAAATCAAGCCAATTAACATATCAATCAAGCCAATTAATATAGCAATCACCTCATATTTATAATTTTGTGATGAGAACATTCAAAATCTACTCACTCAGCAATTTTAAAATATACTATACATTATTATTAATTATAGTCACCATGCTGTAAGACTATATGTTAGGTCTCCAAAACTAATAATTCCTCCTGTTTAACCGAAACTTTGTACCTTTTAGCCTATTCTCCCCATCCTCTACCCGTCCTGACCCTAATAACTACCATTTTACTCTCTGCTTCTGTGAGTTTAACTTTTTTAGATTCCACCTATAAGTGAGACACTGTGTATTGGTCTCTCTATGTCTGACTTATTTCACTTAACATAATGTCATCCAGGTTTATCCATGTTGTTGCAAATAACAGAACTTCCTTTGATTTTAAGGCTGAATTTTAAGGCTGAATAGTGGTAAGGCATGGTGGCTTTTGCCTGTCATCCTAGCACTTTGGGAGGCCAAGGCGGGAGGATCACTTGAGTACAGGCATTTGTGACCAGCCTGGGCAACAAAGTGAGACCTTGTCCCTACAGAAATTTGTTTTTTAATTAGCCAGGTGTTGGTGGCATGCACTTGTGGTCCCAGTTACTTTGGAGGCTGAGGTGGGAGGATTGCTTGAATTCAGGAGTTCAAGGCGGCAGTGAGTTATGATCGTCGTGCCACTGCACTCCAGCCTGGGTGACAGAGGAAGATATTGTTTCAAAAAAAAAAAAAAGAAAGAAAGGCTGAATACCATTTTATTGTGTATACATACCACACTATCTTTATCCATTCATCATGAACACTTAGGTTGATTCCACATCTTGACTGTGGTGAATAGTCCTGCAATGTACATGAGAGTAAAGATACCTCTTTAACATATAGATTTCATTTCCTTCGGATATATACCCAGAAATGGAATTGCTGAATCATATGGTAGCTCTATTTTTAATATTTTGAGGAACCACCGTACTGCTTTCCATAATAGCTATATCATAGCCAGCGCAGGAGAGATGCGGGAGGTGCCACACACTTTAAAACAATTAGGTCTCAGGAGAACCCACTCACTATCACGAGGACAGTACCAAGAGGATGGTACTAAACCATTCATGAGAAATCCACCTCCATGATCCAATCACCTCTCACCAGACTTCATGTCCAACATCAGGGGTTACATTTTGACACGAGATCTGGTTGATTACAACATCCAAACTGTATCAGGGGGCATGTCAAAAAAGACATGGAGAGCAAGACTGCCAAAAGCAGAGAGCAGAAACACATTTCCACCTTCGGGCACCTTCTGATGCTCTTGGATTCCATTTGGGCAGAGTAAGTACTAGCTCTCTGCAGACCCTGGACTAAGGCCTGTGGCTGCAATGAAAAGAACCTTAGGAGGAAACTCAGGAATAAAAACAGAGAAAGTGAGACTTGAGACTGAAATTATGAAACCAAGGAACTAGAAAACCCTGAGAACAGTTGATTAAAACACGGAATGACCGGGAGATCCAGAGTTTCATCAAAGAACGGGAATTACTTTCCTTTTTTTTTTGAGACAGTCTTACTCTGTTGCCGAGGCTGGAATGCAGTGGTGTGATCTCGGCAAACTGCAACCTCTGCCTCCCAGGTTCCAGGTGATCCTCCTACCTCAGCCTCCCAAGTAGCTGGGACTATAGGCACCCACCACCACGCTCAGCTAATTTTTCTATTTTTTTGTAGAGACAGGGTTTCGCCATGTTGCCCAGGCTGGTCTCCAACTTCTGGCCTCCCAAAGTGCTGGGATTACAGGCATGAGCCACCATACCTGGCTAGGAATTTCTTTAATGTGAAGAGTTGAGGAAGAAGAATCATGAATAGTCTAAAGCAATCGACTAGCATCTCAAGCAGTGGGGCATAAAGAAGAGTTGGCAGCACTGTCTCCAGATGGTGATAAGTTTGCAGGACTCCTACTGGACTACTGATGAGGACAAACAGAGACCAAGGAACCAACCCTGGCCCTGTCCTCATGGTTCTACATAGGATTCTGGGATACAGATGGAAGGACAGCGGTTTTTCAGTTTCTCCTTGTGCAAATATGGTTGTTTTTCCAACTCCCAAGTACCAGCCCCAGGTTTGCCATCCCCATTTGCTTTGAGGAACTGCTGTCACACCCCTGTCCATGATCTCCGTGAAAGATCCTCAGGTACCAAGATCGGAGTTCTGGAGCATGAACCGTCCAGGGTCAGCTCCATGCCTGTTTTCTGCTGTTCTCCCAGCAGCCCCCAGTCCCCAGCAGCAGCAGTCAACCTCTTTGGGCTCTGATTCAGATCCCTGAATTTAAAAATAACTAGAACCTAGATCCCAATACTGTCTGAAGGATAATAGAACAGCACAATTGTATGCGCTGGTGCATAACTCCTTCCTCTCTCAGACTGATGTAATGAGAATCAGGTGTGAAATAAATGAATAATCATGACTCTCTCTCTCAAAAAAGGAAAAATAAAGATATGGGGAGCATGGTAAAGGGACTCTCACTTGACATTTGAAGCATCAAAAAAATAATGACAGTATCTGTTTATAACATTTTTAAATAACATAAATCTTCCTGGTGCCACACTGATAGACAAATCAACATTCTTCTTTACAAAAGAATTAATAAATATTGAAGGAATGATAGAATTTGAAAATGGCCATTCATAAAGTAGGAGATTAGACATACTGTCACTCATACGCATCTTTGCATCCTTCACGTCTATTTTTTTTTTTGAGACACAGTCTTGCTCTGTCGCCCAGGCTGGAGTGCAGTGGCGTGATCTCGGCTCACTGCAAGCTCCGCCTCCTGGGTTTGCACCATTCTCCTGCCTCAGCCTCCCAAGTAGCTGGGACTACAGGCGCCCGCCACCACGCCCGGCTAATTTTTTTGTATTTTTAGTAGAGACGGAGTTTCACTGTGTTAGCCAGGATGCTCTTGATCTCCTAACCTCGTGATTCACCCGCCTTGGCCTGCCAAAGTGCTGGGATTAACAGGCGTGAGCCACCACGCCCAGCCTTGACCAACAATATCTTAACTGCTATGTCCCCTACCCAAATCACTGACCTCATCTTTCATCTCCGCTGGTCCTTTAACTGGAGCCACACTTGTCTCTGTGCTCTTCCTTTTTCAGGCCATGAAATGCCTGTGCCTCTGTGTCTTTCTTCTGGCTGGAAAATTCTCCTGATAGTCACCTTTCTTCTCTCCTTCTTTTCTTCCTTTGATGTAACTGTCTCACAAACAGCAATTCCAACTCTGAGTTCATCTGATTAGGCATCTCTTTGTGCATCCCCCAAATTTAACTTCTAGCACTCTGTTTCATAAACACAGCAAGGTGGCATGAGTGATGGTCTGTCCCTGACCTGCATCCATTCCCGACGCGCCATCCATTTCCTATTCTGTGCCTTAAAGCAATAAAGGATTCAAGATTTCAGCCATTTTTTCTTCTTCTTTTTTAATCTTAAGGTCTGCTTCTACCAGTCATTTGAAAAACATATTGTGACAAGCTTTAATCTCATCACTGGAATTCTTTGTTTGGAAAGTGGGGCTGGTCCGAAACAGTCCTGGAGAGTGTTTCCCAGTGGAAACTTCCCAAAGGCAGACTGATAAAGAATCAGCTATGGCTGGGCGTGGTGGCTCACGCCTTTAATCCTAGCACTTTGGGAGGCCGAGGTGGGCAGATTACCTGAGATCAGGAGTTCAAGACCAGCCTGGCCAACATGGTGAAACCCTGTCTCTACTAAAAATACAAACATTAGCCGGGCGTGTTGGCTCATGCCTGTAATCCCAGCTACTTGAGAGGCTGAGGCACGAGAATTGCTTGAGCCTGGGAGACGGAGGTTGCAGTGAGCAGAGATCACACCACTGTACTCCAGCCTGGCCAACAGAGTGAAGTCTGAAAAAAAAGAATCAGTTATGGAGGGCAGGGTGCGGGTAGTTCACGCCTGTAATCCCAGAACTTTGGGAGGCCGAGGTGGGAAGTTTGCTTGAGCTCAGGAGCTTGAGACCAGTTCAGGCAACATAGTGAGACCTCATCTCTACTCAAAAATAAAAGTAAATCAGTTAGACATGGTGGCATCTGCCTATTGTCCTGGCTACTTGGGAGGCTGAGGTGGGAGGATCGCTCGGGTCCAGGACATCAAGACTGCATGATCGTTCCACTGCACTCCAGCCTGGGCAACAGAGTGTGAGACCATGTCTCAAAAAACAAATAAATAAATAAATAAAATTTTTTAAAAAAATCAATGATGAGGATGTTTCACCACATTCTGTGACCTTTGGATGCATTACAGTTAGTTTTCTGCAGAAAAGGAGGATACATTTTATAAGGAAACATAAATGTTTCATAGGAAAGGCATGTATCCTGATGCAAATTTATATTCAGACCATGTGATTTTATTTTTACTAGATTAGTGGGTTAGAATAGCTTGGTTAGAACAGCTAGATGTGGTCTTATTTGGGACTTTTAAAACTGAGCAAAAGAAAATAAGATGCAACTCCGAGCTATTTCTAGACACTCCTCTCAATTTTCTCACCTCCCACAAGCATTGTTGCCACAACCTTCTGTCTCAGGGGAAGGGCCTGCTTTATACCTGAGCCAGCCCCTGACCACTGCCTAGGCTTCCTGGAATCTTCCTAGCAGGATTCTGCTTCTGGAAAAGAGGAAGGAGTGAATATCAGTTCTGCAGAATACACATTTCCTTTCCTTTCTTTCCTTCCTTTTTTTCTCTTTCTTTCCTTCTTTCTTTCTCTGTCTTCCTTTCTTTTTTCTTTTTTTATTTTTTTGAGACAGGGTTTCACTCTGTCACCCAGGCTAATTTTTTGTATTTTCTTGTGGAGACACGGTTTTGCCAGGTTGCCCAGGCTAGTCTCAAACTCCTGGGCTCAAGCCACCTGCCTGCCTCTGCCTAAGCGCTGGGATTACAGGCGTGAGCCACCACGCCCGGCCCCTGTTAGAACTTTACTGTCTAAGTCTTGCACTTCATTTCACTTTGCTTGCTTATTTATTTATGAATGAATGAATGAGACAAGGTCTCTCTCTTCCATCCAGGCTAAAGTATGTGATGCAATCATAGTTCACTGCAACCTCGATCTCCCTGGTTCAAGCAATCCTCCCACCTCAGCCTCCCGGGTAGCTGGGACTACAGGCACGTGCTACAATGCCTGGCTAATTAAAAAAAATTTTTTTTCTTTTGTAGAAACAGAGGTCTTGATATTTTGCTGAGGTTTGTCTGGATTTCCTGGGCTCAAAGATCTTTCACCTCAGCCTTTGATAGCTGGGACTACAGGTGTACCTCAGTAGCGGGCCTCATTTCACCTTCCTTTCCAGGGTCATGCTCTTGGCTACTTGCAATGCCCTCAAGCAGCCTTTCCCCAGTCCCTAGACAAGAATAAAGACCATGGGTCACACACTTTTATACCACCTTGGGCTCTGCCTACTGGGTTCAAGTGATTATTCTGCCTCAGCCTCCCGAGTACCTGGGATTACAGGCACGCACGGCCACGCCCAGGAAATTTTTGTATTTTACTTTATAAAGAATAAGAGACAGGTTTTCACCATGTTGGCCAGGCTGGTCTCAAACTACTGGGCTCATGTGATCTGCTGCCTCGGCCTTCAAAAGTGCTGGGATTACAGATGTGAGTCACCACATCCGGCCCAGAAAGGTATTTTTAAAGTTTTATCAGGAGATGGTACTTTAGAACATTTTAATTTGCAAATGATTTTCGTTTTAATTTTGAGACTTGATTGCATTGCGTTGGAATGGGGGTGGAAATATAAATATTTCTTACCTGTCAAGGGACTCTTGAGGCTCCCCCTCCCCCGCTTTCTAATCTGTGTTGCAAAGCCTGTAAAGAGAGTGAAAGGGTGGGCCTGAAATTCAGCTGAGAAGGTTCCAGGGAGGGGGTAGTGAAGGAGGAGGGAGGAGGGAGAGACAGAGGGAAGGAAGTGAGAGGGCATGGGAGGGAACCAGGATAGACCTTTGACCCCTGGAAATGGATTAAGAAGGGAGTGGGCTGCTGCTTGGAGAAAGCTGTTGAAGACTCACAGTGAGGACCCTGTTTGGACACCTGGAAACTCCTACGGGAGCTCGGTCTTCAAGGGCTGTGAGATTGAGACCCACCCTGTCCCCTGGGGCTCCTACTGGAAAGACATCTGCTTTTCAACTCGCTCACCTCTGAGCTTTGTTGGAACAGACATGTGGACTGCCTCCCACTCCGCATCCCTTCTCATCCCCAATAGCTGAGGGCCCAGGCACACTGCAGAGAAAGTGGTAGACTCTGAACAAGAGAGAGAGGAGGGAGGATGCCCATCACCAGCTCAATCAACCTGGAAGGCAGCCCTGAAGCCCCACCCTCATTCTTTCCTTTGAGTAGCAATTGGAGGAAAACTTTTGGCAATCAAGCTGGACAACAACTGAAAATCCAATCAGGATAAACTGCTTCAGACACGTGACTGGAAAAATGATTGGGCTATAAGGGGCTTAAAAGGAGTGGGACCTTCTGATCTGGCCTCAGAAAGGACTTTGAAGAGCAAGCGGCGTTGTTCGCCTGCGGAAGCAGTGCTGCCGGTCTCTGGACAAATTTCTCCGGGAGGTGGAGACAAGGAAGCTCCAGCTTCGCTTTCCCTTGCGGCCCAGAGTGGAACATACTGAGCTGCACTGAATCATCTGGATGCACTCGCAACTTTAGGAACTGGTGAGCTGAGAAATTTGCTATCTTTCATTTTGCTCCTCTAAAACTAGAGCTGGCAAACTTGTTCTGTGAAAGACTAGATGGCAAATATTTTAGGCATTGCAATTCTCTGCTTCAACTACAGTAGTCTTCCCTTATCCAGGGTATTCCTTTCTGTGCTTTCAGTTACCTGAGGTTCCAAAATATTAATTGGAAAATTCCAGAAATAGGCAATACATAAATTTTAAGTCGCCAGCCCTTCTGAGTAGTGTGATAAGCTCTTGAGTCAGCCCTGCCCTGGGATGGTAATCCTCCCTTTGTCCTGAGTCCCCATGCTGTTGGCTGGCTGCGCTCTCTGTACCTTAGTCACTTAGGAGCGGTCGCAGTTATCAGAGTGACTGTCCTGGTGGTATCTCAGTGCTTGTGTTCAATTAACCCTTATGGTACTTAATAATGGCCCCAAAGTACAAGGGTAGCAATGCTGGCGATTCAAATATGCCAAAAAGAAGCTGTAAAGTGCTTGCTTCCTTTAAGTGAAAATGGGAAAGTTTTTAACATAATAAGGAAAGAAAACAAAATCGTATGCTAAGGTTGCCAAGATCTACAGTACATAAAGATATTTTGTCAGCGAGAGATTGCATTCACATACCTTTAATTTAATTTATTAATTTATTTTTTTGAAACGGAGTTTCACTCTGGCCGCCCAGGCTGGAGTGCCACGGTGCGATCTCGGCTCACTGCAACCCACGCCTCCCGGGTTCAAGTGATTCTCCTGCCTCAGCCTCCCAAGTAGCTGAGATTACAGGTGCTCGCCACTCTGCCCAGATAATTTTTGTATTTTTAGTAGAGATGGGTTTCACCATGTTGGCCAGGCTGGTCTCAAACTCCTGACCTCAGGTGATCCACCCACCTCAGCCTCCCAAAGTGCTGAGGTTACAGGCATGAGCCACCACGCCCTATCTCACATATCTTTTATTACAGTATATTGTTATAATTATTTTGTTATGCTTAACCTCTTACTGTGCCTATTTATAAATTAAGCTTGATCATAGGTATGTACATATATGAAAAAATATAGTATATATTGAATTTGGTTCCATCTGCAGTTTCAAGCATCCACTTCGGGGGTCTTGGAACATATGCCCCAAAGATAAGGGGGTACTACTGTACTCAACTGTGTCATAGAAGTGTGAAAGCAGCCATGGACAACAGCACTAAAAAAATGATTATGGCTGTGTTCCACAACACTTTATGGTGAACACTGACATTTTGAATGTTATATAATTTTCACATCACAAAATATTCCTTTTTTCTTTTTTTTTTTTTTGAGACAGTCTCACTCTGTCACCCAGGCTGGAGCACAGTGGTGCGATCTTCGCTCACTGCAACCTCCACCTCCCAGGTTCAAGAGATTCTCCTGCCTCAGCCTCCCGAGTAGCTGGGACTACAGGCATCTGCTACCATGCCTGGCTAATTTTTGTATTTTTAGTAGAGAAGGGGTTTCACCATGTTGGCCAGGCTGGTCTCGAACTCCTGAGCTCAAGTGATCTGCCCACCTCGGCCTCCCAAAAGTGCTGGGATTACAGGCGTGAGCCACCGCGCCCCGCTTCCTTTTGCATGTTTATTCCCCCAAATTTAAAAATGTACAAGTTTAAAAAAATCTTAATAAAAAAAAAGTAAGAAAACAATACCTTAAAAATGTAAGAAACATTCTTGGCTTCCTGACTGTACAAAAACAGGGGAAGGGCCAATTTTCCAATTTCTGTCTTAAACCATTGTTTGCCAAAATGTAGCTGATATCCATTAGAGAACTACAAAACAAGTTTAGTGTGCTGTCAGCTTACAAAAAGAAATAGGATTTTTCACTGACTATAAGATGCCATCAATTGGCCGGGCACAGTGGCTCATGCCTGTAATCCCAGCACTTTGGGAGGCCGAGGCGGGCGGATCACGAGGTCAGGAGATCGAGACCATCCTGGCTAACACGGTGAAACCCCGTCTCTACTAAAAATACAAAAAATTAGCCGGGCGAGGTGGCGGGCGCCTGTAGTCCCAGCTACGCGGGAGACTGAGGCAGGAGAATGGCGTGAACCCCGCGGGGCGGAGCCTGCAGTGAGCCGAGATCGCACCACTGCACTCCAGCCTGGGCGACAGAGCGAGACTCCATCTCAAAAAAAAAAAAAAAAAGATGCCATCAATTATAAAAGATACATTACTCTCCTTTTTTTTTTTTTTTACATCAGATGTTAAACATGCTGATATAACAAGGTTTGAGGGAAGCACATCTCACATGAGTGAAAACCCAAGCATCACGCTTATCCTCACAAAAGGATCTGAGATATGTCATTTTTGATTCCACTATGAAATAAAAATATATACTGCAAAAACAAATTATGAAATGTATTTTATATTGATGAGATGCTATGATGAGATGCAATCTGATTTAGAGATGTTAAAATGGAAATCTAAGCCTATACCTTAGAATCAATAAAATATGGCATAGAAGGTATCAGAGCCTATCCCTTGTGGTAAGGTGAAGGTATTAGAGTATTTGACAAAACTTTTGTTTCAATTTACACACACATACACACAGGTTTACCTTCTCCCTTGTACAACAGTATTAAATCATTTGGATTTGGATTTCATTAAATGCTTAGAGAATCTGGAATAATGGATTAGAGCCTCTGGTACACCTAAATGATCATATTAATAACAGCTACTATTTATTTAACAAAGATTTAGCATGCACAGTATGACAGACATTGCTCTATAAGCTGAGGAGTAAATGAAACACAACTCCCTGCCCTCGTGTGGCATACAGTTTAGTGGGTAAACACAGAAAAGAAACAAGTTATATTTTTAAATTTTTTGTAGAGATGGGTCTTGCTATGTTGCCCAGGCTGGTCTCGAGCTCCTGACCTCAAGCAATCCTTCCGCCTTGGCCTTACAAAGTGTTGGGATTACAGGTACGAGCCACTGCACCTGTCCCATTTTTTGTTGTTGTTTTAAGACACAGAGTCTTCCTTTCCTCTGTCACCCAGGCTGGATGCAGTGACATGATATATCTCACTGTAATCTCAAACTCCTGGGCTTGCAAGATATATTTTACATATTGTGTGGTAGGCAGTGATAAATGCTAAGTTGAAAAATAACATTGAGGGTTTGAACATATGAGTTAAGGAGGTTGTGATTTTTGATATTGTGGTCAGGTAAGCCTTGCTGAAGAGGAACCATGGGACTGAGGCAGACCAGGAGCCCAGATGGGGTTAATCTGGGGAAAGAGGCACGCAACGTCCGGGAACAACAAAAGTTCTGAAAAAGAAAAAGGCCTGCTGTGTTCCAGATTCACGGAGCTCAGGATGGCTGCATCAGAGCAACAGAGGAGTTAGCAAGGGCGATGATGACCTAAGGTTCCATGGGGAAATTTAAAGTTTGCTGGTATTTCCTATGAATGAAATGGAAAGTCATTGAAGACTTAAGAGCGAAATATACTTGCTCCCCTGTATATTTTAACAGGGGCATTGGGGCCACCATGGGGAGATCTGACAAAACTTTTAAGACTGGCAACTTCTGCAGTGATCCAGGGAGAGAACATGGTACCTTCCATCAGGGAGGTGGCAGTAGATGTGGAAGAGAGTAGTCAGATTCTGGATATCTTTAAAAGATAGAGCAGACTAGCTTTGCTAATTGATTGGCTGTAGTGTATGAGAGAAAGTCTGGCAAAGGATGACTCTGAAGTTTGTAGACTGAGCAACTGAGTTTACTGAGAAAAGGAACATTACAGGAACAGCAAAGGGTGTGTGTGTGTGTGTGTGCTGTGATTTGTGTGTGTGTGTGTTTGTGTGATGGGGTCTCATTTGGTTGCCCAGGCTGGAGTGCAGTGGCATGAACATAGCTTTGAAGTCCTGGGCTCAAGTGTTCCTCTTGGCTCAGCCTCCCAAGTAGCTGGGACCACAGGTGTGTACCACCATGCCAAGCTAATTTTTTTTAATTTTTAAATTTTTTTGTAGAGATGGGGTCTTGCTATGTTGCCCAGGCTAGGAGCAGAATGTTTTTGAGAGAAGTTTTGTTCAAGTTGGTTAGAAACCTTAGACATCTGAGAGAGTACCTGTGGGATGAGGAGGAGGTGAGTGAGGCATCTAGAGTGCAAAATTTAGAGGCAAGCACTCTGAGATGTTCCATCTGCACCTCCTGAAATCTTGCTTCCTTTGCCTCACAACTGCAGAAGACCAGGGGAGGAGAGACAGGTAAATTTGAAATTATTATGCCATTTAAAATGTTTCAAGCCTCATTTCTGACGTGTAAAATAGAGATGTTGATGGTTATCTCAGTGTTTTAAGGGAGGATACAATAAAGTAATGATTTTGTCTTTCGAAATAAATATTGACTATTGTCACATGGTTGCACTTAGGTGGCAATTTGTAAAAAGACAGCTCTGGAAGTTGAAGAGACCAGTGGCTTCAAGCAAAAAGTAAATTGAAAATGGGAGATATCTTTTTGTGTAAGAAAGTGGAATCACCAAAGAAGAATTTGAGAGAATCCAAACAAAGGGAGGAGGATGATGAAGATCCAGATCTGATCTATGTTGGGGTGGAGCATGTACATAGAGATGCTGAAGTTCTCTTTGTCGGGATGATTTCAAATTCAAAACCAGTCGTTTCAAACATTTTGAACAGAGTCACCCCAGGCTCAAATTCAAGAAGAAAGAAAGGCCACTTCCGTCAATATCCTGCTCACGTGTCGCAGCCTGCAAATCATGTGACCTCTATGGCAAAAGCCATCATGCCGGTTTCTCTGTCTGAGGGGCGATCGACAGATAGTCCTGTCACTATGAAGTCTTCATCTGAACCTGGTTATAAAATGAGCTCACCACAAGTTGTTTCTCCCAGTTCCTCAGACTCGCTCCCCCCAGGGACTCAGTGTCTAGTTGGAGCTATGGTCTCTGGAGGAGGCAGAAATGAGAGTTCTCCTGATTCAAAGCGACTTTCCACTTCAGATATAAACAGCAGAGATTCCAAAAGGGTTAAACTCAGGGATGGAATCCCAGGGGTACCTTCTTTAGCTGTGGTCCCTTCAGATATGTCTTCTACAATAAGCACAAATACACCCTCACAGGGGATCTGCAACTCATCAAACCATGTTCAGAATGGAGTAACATTTCCTTGGCCTGATGCTAATGGAAAGGCACATTTCAATCTTACAGATCCAGAGAGAGCAAGTGAGTCTGCCCTGGCAATGACAGACATTTCAAGTCTAGCAAGTCAAAACAAGACCTTTGATCCCAAGAAAGAAAATCCCATCGTGTTACTTAGCGACTTTTACTATGGACAGCATAAAGGAGATGGGCAGCCGGAACAGAAGACTCACACCACCTTTAAATGCCTCAGCTGCGTGAAAGTTCTAAAAAATATTAAGTTTATGAATCACATGAAGCATCATTTGGAATTTGAGAAGCAGAGGAACGACAGCTGGGAAGACCACACCACCTGCCAGCACTGCCACCGGCAGTTTCCCACTCCCTTCCAGCTACAGTGTCACATTGATAGTGTACACATCGCCATGGGGCCCTCTGCTGTCTGTAAAATCTGTGAATTGTCATTTGAAACAGATCAGGTCCTCTTACAACACATGAAGGACCATCATAAGCCTGGCGAAATGCCTTATGTGTGCCAGGTTTGCCATTACAGATCGTCGGTCTTTGCTGATGTGGAAACACATTTTAGAACGTGCCATGAAAACACAAAGAATTTGCTTTGTCTGTTTTGTCTCAAACTTTTCAAAACTGCAATACCATACATGAATCATTGTTGGAGGCACAGCAGAAGGAGGGTCCTTCAGTGTTCCAAGTGCCGGCTACAGTTTTTGACGTTGAAGGAGGAAATAGAGCACAAAACCAAGGACCATCAAACATTTAAAAAGCCGGAGCAACTGCAAGGGTTGCCTAGTGAAACAAAAGTTATTATTCAAACTTCAGTTCAGCCAGGATCAAGTGGTATGGCTTCCGTTATTGTTAGCAACACTGACCCTCAGTCTTCTCCTGTAAAAACTAAAAAGAAGACGGCTATGAACACTAGAGATTCCAGACTCCCTTGCAGCAAGGATTCTAGCTGAAAATATGTTCGACTGACTTCCAGGAGTTCCGAAAGGCAGAAGTGAGGCTAGGCCATATGTGCATTGTGGCTGTAGATGCTAGCAAGCAATGTCATCAACTGTCAGGTTGTTTTTTACAGTGACATCTCATCAGCTCCCTATTGTCAAGAAGTAGCTCCAAAGTCTTTGAGCCCTTTCCCAGTCAAATGCTCCCAACAGGGCATCCCTTATTCTGACCTCAGAGGTTTTTCTTGTTCATGAACTTTAAATAAATGGAATCACACAAAGATTCTTGTCTTTGGCTTTTTAAAATAAGTGAGATGGCTGGGTGTGATGGCTCATGCCTGTAATCCCAGCACTTTGGGAGACTGAGGTGGGTGGATCACTTGGGGTCAGAAGTTTGAGACCAGGCTGGCCAACATAGTGAAACCCCTTCTCTGCATAAAATAGAAAAATTAGCCAAGCGTGGTGGTGGGCGCCTGTAGTCCCAGCTACTCGGGAGGCTGAGGCAGGAGAATCGCTTGAACCTGGGAGGGGGGAGTTTGCACTGAGCTGAGATCGCGCCACTGCCCTCCAGCCTGGGTGACAGAGCATGACTGTCTCAAAATAAAGTAAAATGAAATAAAATAAGTGAGATGCATTTTTGCTGTGTGTAGCAGTAGCACATTCTTTTTCATTGCTGGGTAGAATTTTGTTGAGTGACTGTGGCAGTTTTGTATAAATTTATTTCACTGTTGATGGACTTTGAGGCTGATTCTTTGGCAATTTTGAATAAAGCTGCTATGAGCTTGTGCGTGTCTTTTGGTAAGCATGTAATCATTTCTCGTGGGTATATATAGCTATGAGAAGTGCTGGAACTGCATATATTTAGCTGTCTAGTGTAGATACTGCCAAATACATTTCCAGAGTGATTGAAACGATTTACATTCCCACCACCGATACTGCGAATTCCATTGCTACTGATCCAGCACTTGGTACTGTCAGTCCTTTTAGTAAGTGCCCTTCTCTTGAAATTGTAGTGGTACCTTATTGTGGCTTTAATTTGCACTTCCCTGATGATTAATGGACCTTGAGATTATATAGTTATCGGCCACGTGAGTATTTCTTTTTATTAAATGTCTATTCAAGTTTTGCCCCCTCCTACCTTTTTAAAAACTGGGCTGTCGACTGGGAAGGGTGCTGGGGCACTGGAAATGTCCCATATTTGGATCTAAATCGTGGTTTTATGGTTTATCTTTCATGAGTCTTATTTAAGAAATTGTCTACAAACGACATAAAGATATTCCTTCTATGTTCTAGAAGCTTTACTGTTTTGATGAGACATCTCAAACTGATTTTTTGTTAATGGTGTGATAAGGCATGAAGACTAATTTTTTCATATACATACCCAAAATCAATCAGCACCACTTACTAAAAAGACCACTCCTTCCCTACTGTATTGCCGTGGAAACTGTGAATCAGGTATGATTGTATATATGTGTTTCTGGAATCTATTTCATTTCATTTGTCCTGTTCTCTATCCTTGTGCTAATGCTGCAGTATCTTAATTATTGTAGCTTTGCATAATCCTCCGTGTGGTAGTTTCATTTCTCCAACTTTGGTGTTCAAAATTGCCTTGGCTATTCCAAATGCTTTGCGAATTGAAGTGGCTTTCATGGGTGTGCTTTTCTTGGTCTCAAACTCAGGTAGAATAGTTTACTTTAATTGTGATGTTAGCTGTGGGGCTCTTTGTAGTTACCCACTGAGTACACGGGAATCAACTTACAAATCAGTAACAGAAAGATCACTGAAAAAAAACCCAAAGTTCCTAAATTAGGCAATACATTTCTAAACAGGGCTGGGACTAGGGTGAGGCAAGCAGGGAACCTAAGGTGACAATATGCCATACCTGAAGCTGGGCGTGGGTCTCTCCTTAATGTGCCTCAGCCTCCTTGCTTATCTCACCCCAGTCCTGGTCCTCATTCTGAATAACCCATAGCTCCTCTAAGAAATTGCAGTGAAAAAAGGAAAATGTTGAACTGAAAGATATTGAAAACAGCCACAAAATTTATGGGATGGAACTAAAGCATTTCATGGGAATTTATATTTCTAAATGCATATATTTGGGAAGAAGAAAGGTTGACTAATGATCTAAGTCAGTGCTGTCCGTAGATCTTTCTGCAATGATGAAAATGCTCTACTTCTGCTCTGTCCAATATGCTACAGGTGACTATTGATCTGTTGAAATGTGGCAAGTATGACTGAGGTACTAAATTTTTTATTTTATTTTTGATTAATTTAAAACTAAAAAGCTATTTTTGATTAATTTAAAACTAAAGGAAGAAGAGACAAATCTTCCTTAAAGAAGAATTGCAAAGTAACTTGTGTAGATAATTTTCCTTCAATGAGACCTCACGGCCTTCCTGCATGTAGGCAAGATTTAGAATAAGGTATGAAAGGGGGGGGAAGTAATTTACAGCGGAGAAGCCAGTAGGAAGTCTTATTGATAGCATGGATCGCTGATGAGAAATTATGAGAAAGACACATCATGTCTGTGATAGTCTTCTAAAAACCATAACCCCAGTGTAACCATGAGAAAAACATCAAACCTAAATTGAGAGACACTCTGAAAAATACCTGACCTTTACTTCTTAAAATTGTCAAGGTCATGAAAAGCAAGAAAAGTTTAAGAAACTGTCACAGACCACAGAAGGCTAAGAACACAAAATGACCAAGTACAATTCAGTATCCTGGGTGGGAATCTGGAACAAAAAGGATGATGGGAAAAACTAGTGACATTTGAATAAAGCCTGGAGCTTAGTTGATACTAATTTACTGATGGACATTGGAATTATTATGAAGCCAAAAGAAGATCATTTCTCATAGATTTATTTTTCATGTTATTATTTTTTGAGACGGAGTCTCGCTCTGTTGCCCAAGGCTGGAGTACAGTGGTGCAATCTCAGCTCACTGCAACCTCTGCCTCCCAGGTTCAAACAGTTCTCATGCCTCAGCCTCCCGAGTAGCTAGGACTACAGGCGCGTGCCACCACACCCAGCTAATTTTTGTATTTTTTGTACAAAAATGGGGTTTCACCATGTTGGCCAGGCTGGTCTTGAACTCCTGACCTCAAGTGATCTGCCTGCCTTGGTCTCCAAAAATGCTGGGATTACAGGTGTGAGCCACCGTGCCAGGCCTCTTACGTACATTTTAGATATTGCAAATATCTTCTTTACATATCAGCCTCATATATACATTTTAGATAATGCAAATATCTTTACATATCAGCCTCATATATACATTTTAGATACTGCAAATATCTTCTTTACATCTATGATCTCTTCATTTTGACTATGGTACACTTCACTGAACAGAAATCTTCAAATGCAAGGGTGAGTAATATTTAGGCCATGTGATTTGATTATAATACAATTAAAAAATCTTTTAAAAATCTCATAGATTTCAAAAATAAATAACATATACTATATAACCCTTGTGTTAGAAAGAATCACTATGTAAAAAATAGAGGTTCCTCTTCAAAGACTTTCCTCCCTGTCTAATTACGAATAAATAGTAACTTCTCTTAGAAGTAAAATTTATTCAAAGACCTGTGCTAACATTCTTAGATATCTGCTAGCCGTAATAAAGAAATTAATATACTTTGTGTTCTTAGCTCCCACAATTTAGCCTAAATATTTGCCCTTGCATGCTTATACTGGTCCAAGCAAGCATTAGGTCATAGCCTGTTCCTCTTCCTATTTGGAGGTGTTTTTACCTTTCTCAGCATTCTACAAGTTACATCCTCCTTCCTTTGTTCTCCTCTGCCTTTGCCTCTTTTAGAAAGTTCTAAGTTGTTAGCCAATCGGGACAAACACAGAATGTGAGGTCCTGTTCCAGCCAATGGAAACCGGACACAGCAGTAGGGTGGATGCGTCAGGTTATAAATAACCCTGTATCCTTTGTTTGGGGTACTCTCGTGGCAAAACTGCTGGCGAGTGTACCCTTTCTGCAGAAAGTGAAAATGGCCTTGCTGAGAAAATTAAATTTATGTTCAAGTGCTATTTCTTTGCGGCACCAGGGAACAAGCATTTCTAACAACTAGCAAAATTAGGACATATCTAATTGAAGGATAATGAACATATTACCAAGCGGACTGGTGAGACACAGTTAAACTGGTACTTAAAGGTAAATTTATAGCATTAAATACAAGAGAAACAAAAAAGTTTACAAGCAAACGAGGTAGGCATTTTTCTCCAAAAGTTGTAATGAGAAGTAACAGAACAAGCCTATGAAGTCACGAAGGAAGAAAATAACAGAATGGAAGAAATAGATAAAATAGATAAGAAAATAACATTATAGATTAATTAAACCAAAAGCGATTTACCCGCCCCCCAAAAAGATTGCTAAAATAGACTTTTGGCAGAATTGGTCAATTCAAAAAAAAAATCAAAGCTGCAAGTAAACTGAGTGGGCAAACTTTCTGTAAAGGGCCAGACAGTAAATATTTTAAGCTTTTCATACATGGTCTCTGGCAATTAATCAACTTTGCTGTTGAAGCAGGAAAACAGGCATAAATAATACCGAAAGGAATGGGCATGTTTGTTGTTCCAATAAAACTTTATTTATGGACACTGAATTTTGAATTTCATATAATTTTCACATGCCACAAAATATTCTCTTTTTAGCCATTAAAAAAACGTGAAATCGGTTCTTAGCTTGCTGCCAGCTGTACAAAAACAGGTGGCAGGCTGGATTCAACTGGCCCCAGATGTAACTAGAAGAGGACAGATGTTAGGTTCAGTTGTTTCCTCACAATCCCTTAAGCATGGATAGTCAACAAAGGGACCACACCTGAGAATTATAACAGCTGGCCTTCTGGTGGGCAAACCATCCCCTGATGGACTGGAAGCCTACCCCCCACCCCAAGCCCTGGCTGCGACAGCTCTGGAACCCTGACTGCCTGGGTGCCCCTCAGCTCTGGAACCCTGACTGCCTGGATGCTCCTCAGCTCTGGAACCCTGACTGCTTGGATACCCCCTCAGCTCTGGAACCCTGACTGCCTGGAACCGTGATCCGGAACCCAAGATCCTTTCAAGGCCTCAGGGGTATTGCTGCTGCCCTCCTCCTTCTCAATTTAACCCCGCGTCCAGCCGTCGCCACCAGGGGCGTCAGAGCGCGCGCATGCTCCTAGCTCGGAGCCGCGCCGATCTCGCGCCGGCACCTGGCAGCCAATCGCAGGTCTCCACTGGACGCGCGCGTGTGGAGGCGTGCGCGTCGGCGGCGCCGGGGGCCTGAGGAGGCGTAGTCGCCGCCGGCTGTGCCCCGGGAGCGCCTCCGGGGCTGGTGCGTGGCCGGCAGCTCGCGAACAGCAGCTGATCCGGACTGGTAAGGACGGGGGCGTGGCGCGGCTTCAGCGTTCCCTGAGGGGAGACTTGAGGGATTTCATGGCGAGCCGCAGCCCTGCGGGTCGCGACACCGCGCTTGGCCGTGCGCTGCCGGAGCGGCCTTTGCAATACAGCCGCTTTCTGTGGGGGAGTGCAGGGCAGAAGCAGGTCCCACGATCCCCTCACGCACACCCCCTTCCCTAATCTCAGCGGGCGCCACTTTTACATCAGCCTCCACTCCCTCACGCAGACGCCCCCACCCCCGGGCTGGGCCCGGGCCTCCTGGAGAAGGGGCCTTTCCTGGCTCCCAGTGCGCTCCCCTCCCCCATCGCCCCCGCGGGGTCTCTTTTGGCGCTCAATGTATTTAAAAATCTGAAAACTGCTTTGTAACCCCAGGCCCTCCCCAGTTCTGGAGACCTGTAGGCCCAGACCCCTTAAGGCATTTGAATGTATGGGTCTCTCTCCCCTACCGCAGCGTCTTGTCTCATTTACTGCGTCGCTGTCGGGACTCTTAATGCAGCCCCTGGGACCCTAATGGAGTCCCTCCCGTGAGAGCCAGGACCTCGGGTGATTTGCAGGCTTTTGATTTGGGCAGTTGGCGGGTGGGACGTTTTCCTTTGCTAAGGTAGGGTAGATTGGAGGAACAGATCTGGGGGAAAGGAGTTCAGTTCACTTATCTGGTTAAGTGTGAGATGATTGATAAACACCTAAATGGCAATGTCAGGCAGTGGGATCGAAAATATTCTTGTGACATGTAAGTAACTAATGCTTCTCTCTGGTTACCTCAAGGATGTGACCTTCTGCCTGGAATAGCTCAAGTTCTTAAAAGTTGCGTTGTAATAAACCTGAGGTAAGAAAAGAGAAGTCTCCCTGATGAGGACCAAAGTTGTATTTTCGTCCTTCAGTTTCGCTCCCCTGCCCTTTCCTTTGCTGAAACATAGCTGTTTGGTATTCAATATTTTACTGAGGGAATCTGAATGATGTGTTTGATTAGTTCAGGCCAATTGTTGATGTAGGTCATTCGGGAACCCTCTAAATTGCTTTGTTGAGAAAGGAGAGGGTGGTAGTGGCATTCTTTTACCACATCTCTTGAAAAAAAAAAAAAGAGCATCAGGGATGTTAAGTTATATAAAGCTGACTCCTTTTATCCTACCCTCTTTCTCAGCGACTGTATTTCATGAGGTAACTGCATGCAGCAGGACAGGGGAGGTCATCTGAAGTCATTGCATGCCAGTAGGTGAGATTATAGTGAATTGTGTGCCCAGCAATTTGTGATTACAGCTCAGTGAGACCCATTGTATTAGTTATCTATTGCCGTGTAACAAATTGTCTCAAAACTTAGTAGTTTAAAAAAAAATTTATTACCTCATAGTTTTTGAAGGTCTGGAATCCAAGAGTGGCTTAGCTGGCTGTTTCTGGCTCAAGGTCACTCATGAGGTTTCAGTGAAACCCTTGGCTGGATTGTCAGTCTCTGCGGAATTGACTTGGTTTGGATCATCTGCCTCTAAGCTCACTCACTGGGCTGTTGGCAAGAGGCCTCAGTTCCTTGCTCTGTGGGCCTCTCCATGGGGCTGTTCATGTCACAGCAGCTGGCTTACTTCAGAGCAAATGATTCAAGAGACCTTGTACCCAAGATGAAGGGCAGAGTCTTTATGACCTAATTTCTGAAGTGGCATACCATCACTTCCTGCTGTATGTGCTTGATCCCACAGGCCAACCCTGTTAGTGGGAGAGGGCTACAACTATGTGAATTCCAGGAAGTGGGATTCATTTAGGGCCATCTTGGAGGATGGCCACCGCAACCATTTATCCACCATTTAACCCTTTTCCATAGGATCTCAAAGCATTGTCCTGTTACTCTGGGTGAATAATTTGACTTCTTGCTAAGGCCAGAACCTCTACATGTGCACTTGTTTATTTAAGGATATTATTCTAGCAAGACTTCTCTTTGTCTAGGGTTAAGTTTTCTATCTCTCCAGATCATTAATATAGCAAACATACTGATTGTACCATCACCTCACCTTAAAGATCTCGTTTTTGATGCCACATCTCCCATCTGCTTGTTTTAATTTGTATTTGCTTGTCCTTACAGGAAAATTTCTCCAGAGTTGTCCGTATTTGCTATCTCCTGTTCTCGTTCTTCCTTAAACCCACTGCTGTCAAGGTCACCAATGAATTCCACTTTGCTTAATCCATTGGTCAGTTTTAGTTGATTTTCGTGATTTTATTTGATCTATTGGCAGCATATATTACAGTTCCTTTTCTCCTCCCCATTGGATTCTGGGATGCTTCTCTTTCTCAATTCTCCTCCCACCTGAATGGCTGTGAATAATTGTTTTTTTTTTAATTTCCTTTACCAGCTCCTTCTCATCTCCATGACCTCTAATCAATGGAATGCTCCAGAGCTTAGATCTCAGACCTCTTTTCCCTGAGTGATCTCATCCAGTCTTGTGTTTTAAATAATGCTACATACTGAAGACTTCAAAATTTAAGTACCTACCTCGGAACTTTCCTTGGGCTCTGATCTCATAGATTTACCTGCTCAGCATTACCTCTTGTGTGTCCTCCTCCTCTCCTTCACATCCCAAACCCAATCCATCAATGAACCTTGTGGGCCTTCTAGATTTTTATCTAGAGTCCGACTTCTTAGTATCTCTATTTCTCCATCCTGTCTGATACTACCATCATCTTTTGTTCATAATATTTCAGTAGCTTCTTGTCTTCTGCTTCCACTATTACTCTCTAAAGTCTATTCTCCACACAGTAGCCACAGCAATCCTAATGAAATGAGTGAGATCATATTACTTCTCACTCAGAGCCTTCCAGTAATCTCTCATCACACTCAGGGTAAAATCTGAAGAATTTGTTTTTATTTTTTGTCTATTTATGTACTTATTTTTTGAGATGGAGTTTCGCTCTGTCACCCAGGCTGGAGTGCAATGGCGCAGTCTCGGCTCACTGCAACCTCTGCTTCCTGGGTTCAAGTGATTCTCCTCCTCAGCCTCCCAAGTAGCTGGGATTACAGGTGCCCGCCACCACACCCAGCTAATTTTTGTATTATTATTATTTTATTTTTATTTTTATTTATTTTTTTGAGATGGAGTCTTGCTCTGCCACCCAGGCTGGAGTGCAGTGGCATGATCTCAGCACACCGCAGCCTCTGTCTTCTGGGTTCAAGCAATTCTCCTGCCTCAGCCTCCCGAGTAGCTGGGACTACAGGCACGTGCCAGCACACTTGGCTACGTTTTGTATTTTTAGTAGAGACGGGGTTTCACCATGTTGGCCAGGCCGGTCTCGAACTTCTGACCTCAGGTGATCCACCCGCCTCGGCCTCCCAAAGTGTTGGGATTACAGATGTGAGCCACCACACCTGGCCAAAGCTGAAGAATTTAGAATGGCCTACATGATCTTGGCTTTCCTTTGCCACAAACAGCTCATTTTTTATCTCATTTCTAACTTGTCACTCTTTTCATTGGTCCACCTGTGTTAGCCTATTGATCAGTCCTTGCATGTGTTAAGTGCTCCAGTCTCAGAGGCTTTGTGTTTGCTGTTCCCTTTGTTGGAGTATTCTTCCCCAGATAGCCATATTCATGTTATGTGAGTATCAACCTGCCTCCATTTCCTACTTTATTTTTCTCCCTAGTGTTTATATAACCATGTTACTTTTGTTAAAAAAATTATTTTCTGACTACCCCTTCTGGAATGTCAGCTCCCTGAAGTGAAAGACTTTGGATCACTGCTATATCACCAGACCAATACATGGCACCTTGTTGGCCCACCAAACTTTTATTGAATGAGTGGTCTTCTTAAATTCGTCTCAAATACTACCTTGATGCTTCCCTTTCTCCTTTTCTCTGTAGTAATGAGATTATGAGAACTGTGCAGATTCTTGATCATTCCTGTATAATTTCTCTCTTAGTTTTTTGTGGACTGGGATATGTTTTAATTCTACTGATTGAATACATTTTATAGCTATAGTTCCACTAAAATAGCAAACATCAGAACATCAAATGTGTATGTTTGGCTACACACAGAACCTTATATGATGGTCTTTCTGTAGATTAACAATTTCTCCCTAATTTCTTAACATCCCTCCCACCAGCTCAGTTCTAATGCAGCAATATTACCTTAGGGTCAATTTGATATGTGAAAAGAGAATAGTGACTTTCACCTTTTGGCTTTTAACACCTAGTTAATGTGGGCACAAGTTGTTTGTTTGTTTTTTTTTTTTTTCAGACGGAGTCTTGCTGTGTTGTCCAGGCCGGAGTGCAGTGGCACAATCTCAGCTCACTGCAACCTCTGCCTCCCGGGTTCAAGCAATTCTCCTGCCTCCTGAGTAGCTGGGATTACAGGCGTGTGCCACCACGCTCAGCTAAGTTTTTGTATTTTTAGTAGAGATGGGGTTTCACCATGTTGTTCAGGCTGGTCTGAAACTCCTGGCCTCGTGAGCCACCTGCCTCAGCCTCCCAAAGTGCTGGGATTACAGGCGTGAGCCACCATGCCCGGCCTGGCACAAGTTATTTTAATCTTATTCTTTGTTAGCTTCTTATACTTGTAAACTACAAGTGTGTTTAGGTCCATTCCTTGTTCTTTCCCTTCAGTGTGTAAATTAATCAGTTATTTGGATAATACTGAATAATACAATTCTGAGAGTTGAGCTTTAGCATTAGTGTTGTATAAGTTTGAAACAAAATGTGAATGCTCTGCAGAAGTCTTAACTGGGGTTTTTTCCCTGGGAGCTTCCCAGTCGCAGAGACCCAAGTTACATAGGGAGTCATGATAGGACCTATGTGGTCTGCATAGAATATGCTCTCACAGCTTTTCACAACCTCTAGATTCCTTATAACTAGGTTGACTATGTAATTTATCATCTAAACTGAAGGACTTATTAAAGATTGAAGAGTGGCACTATCCATAATTCCACAGAGATAGAAGTTTAAACTATAACTGTCTTGGTCATACCAGCATATTTGGTAATCCTACGTATAATTTATTTGGTCTTCCAAGTCCTTGGTATCGGAGAAGAGTTCACTCTGCAAGGAGATATAACTGTTCCATCCTTGGGAATGTATGACTCCCACTACAGTTTGTAAATTGACCACCTGATACTAGCTTAATTCTTTTTGTTCGCTAGATGAGCTTGCATTGTTCCATTATCCTTGCTACGAATTGAGTCTGCTTAATGGTGCTTTGAAAATTTAGCAGCAGTTGTTGGGAGATGGGGGGTTATACCAGCCTGTTACTAGGCATTTGTTTTTCTTTGAAATATAGTTCATATGCCATAAAATTCACCCTTTGCGGTGTGAAATTGAATGGTTTTTAGTATTATATACTTACAAAATTGTACAACCATCAGCAATATCTAATTCCAAGACATTTCATCAACTCTAAAGAAACCTTGTATCCATTAGCAGTCACTCCCTATATTACTTTTCCATAGCTGCTATAACAAATTATCACAAACTTGGTGGCATAAAACAACAAAAATTTATTCTCCCTTAGTTCGGGAGGTCAGAAGTCTAAAATAAGTTTCACAAGACCTAAATCAAGATGTTGGCAGGGCTGTCCTCCCCTGGGAAACTCTAGCGGAGAATCCATTCTTTGCATCTTCTAGTTTGTGGATGTGACGTTCTTTGGCTTGTGACCATGTCACTCTAATCTTTGCTTCTGTCTTCACATCACCTTTTCCTAGAGTATGTGTGAAATCTCCCTCTGCTTCTCTTACAAGGACATTTGTGGTGGCATTTAGGGCCCACCTGTATAGTCCAGGATAATTTTCCCATCTGCAAAGATCCTTTTTCCAAATAAGGTATCATTTACAGGCTTAAGGGATTAGGACCTGATATTTTGGGGGCCATTTTTCAAACCTGCTATATTCCTTTCATTCTTCTTCATCGAGCCCATGGCAGCTGCTACTTTATTTCTGTCTGTATGAATTTGCCTTATTCTGGACATTTTGTATAAGTAAAATAATAAAATATGCGGCCTTTTGTGTCTGGTGTTATTCACTTAGTGTATTTTCAAGGTACACCGTATTGTATGCTTGTTTGTACTTAGTTTTTTTATGGCTGAATAGTATTTCATTGTACGGATATACCACAGTTCGTTTATTCATTTATCAATTAATTTACATTCGGTTGTTTGCACTTTGTAGCAGCATTATGGCTATATTCCAGCTAGCTTATATATGTGTTATATTTTCAATTCTCTTGGGTATATACCTAGGAGTGATATTGTTGGGTCATATGGTAACGCCATATTTAAATTTTGAGCAATTGCCAAACTTTTCCAAAGTACAAGTTTATATTATCACCAGCAGTATTTGAGGGTTCAGATAGCTGCACATCCTCTGCAACGCTTGAGATTGTTTTTGCTTATAACTAACCTAGTGGATGTGAAGTAATAGCTCATTGTGATTTTGATTTGCATTTCCTTAATGACTATATTGAGCAGCATTTCATGTGCTGCTTGGCCATTTGTGTATCTTTGGAGAAGTGTTCAAATCCTTCGCCCATTTTTTATTGTTTGTTTTTGAGACAGGGTCTCGCTCTGTTGCCCAGGCTGCAGTACAGTGACACAATTATGGCCCACTGCAACATCAACCTCCCAGGCTCCAGTGATCCTCCCATCTCAGCTGCCACCCTGCCTCATTCCACCCCTGAGTAGCTGGGACTACAGGCGTGTGCCATGATGCCCAGCTAAATTTAAATTTTTTTTTTTTCTTGAGACAGTCTTGCTCTGGCACCAAGGTTGTAGTGCAGTGATGTGATCACGGGCACACTCTACCACGCCCGGTTAATTTTTTAATTTTTTGTAGAGGTAGGGTCTCACTATGTTGTACAAGCTGGTCTGGAATTCCTGAGCTGACTAAGTCCTCCTGCCTCAGCCTCCCAAAATACTGGGATTACAGGTATGAGCCACTGTGCCTGTGTTTTTAAATTTTTTGTAGAGAAGGGGTCTCACTACATTGCTTGGACTGATCTTCAACTCTTGGGCTCAAGCGATCCTCCCATCTCAGCCTTCCAAAGTGTTGGGATTACAGGCATGAGCCACTGTGTCTAGCTTATTTTTTATTTTTTATTTTATTTTATTTTTTTAACAGAGTCTCACTCTGTCGCCCAGGCTGGAGTGTGGTGGCATGATCTCGGCTCACTGTAACCTCTGCCTCCTGGATTCAAGTGATTCTTCCTGCCTCAGCCTCTCGAGTAGCTGCGATTACAGGCGCGTGCCACCATGCCGGCTAATTTTTGTATTTTTAGTAGAGACAGGGTTTTGCTATGTTGGCCAGGCTGGTCTCAAACTCCTGACTGTAAGTGATTCTCCCACCTTGGCCTCCCAGAGTGCTGGGATTATAGACGTGAGCCACCATGCCGATTGGGGCCTGTTTTTAAAATGAATTGTTTTATTGTGGTAAAAACGCATATAATTTACCACCTTAACCATTTCTAAATTAATAGTTCAGTAGTTTCAAGCATTGATGTGAAACAGATCTCTAGAACTTTTTCATCTTGCAGAACTGAAACAATGCCCATTAAACAACAGACTCACCCTTTTCCTCTGCCCCTAGCCCTTGGTAACCATTACTCTACCTTCTGTTTTTTGTTTTTTTGGTTTTTTGTTTTTTTTTTTTTTTTTTTTTTGAGACGGAGTCTTGGTGTGTTGCCCAGGCTGGAGTGCAGTGGTGCGATCTCCACTCACTGCAACTTCTGCCTCCCAGATTCAGGGGATTCTTCTGCCTCAGCTTCCCGAGTAGCTGGGACTACAGGTGTGTGCCACCACTACGCCCAGCTAATTTTTTTTGAAACAGAGTTTCTCTCTTGTCGCCTAGGCTGGAGTGCAGTGGCGTGATCTTAGCTCACTGCAACCTCCGCCTCCTGGGTTCAAGCAATTCTCCTGCCTCAGCCTCCCAAGTAGCTGGGTTTATAGGTGCCTGCCACCACATCTGGCTAATTTTTGTATTTTTTTTAGTAGAGACAGGGTTTTGCCATGTTGGCCAAGCTGATCTCGAACTCCTGACCTCAGATGATCTGCCCACCTCAGCCTCCCAAAGTCCTGGGATTACAGGTGTGAGCCACTGCTTCCGGCCTCTACTTTCTGTTTCTATGAATTTGACTATTTTAGTTACCTCATATAGGTGGAATTATACAAATACAAAAGTATTTGTCTTTTTGTGACTGGTTTATTTTATTTGGCATAATATCCTCAAGGTTCAAACATGTAGCATGTGACAGATTTTCTTCCTTTTTGAGGTTGAATAATATTCTATTGTGTGTGTGTGCATATATATATATATAATATTTTGTTTATTCATTTTTGGGTAGACATTTGGGTTGCTTCTACCCCTTGGCTATTTTAATAGTCCTTCTGTGAACATGGGTGTGCCAGTATCTCTTCGAGACCCTGCTTTCAATTATTTTAGATATATACCCAGAAGTAAGATTGCTAGAACATATAGTAGTTCTGTTTTTAATTTTATGAGGCATTTCTGTACTGTTTTCCATAGTAGTTATACCATTTTACAATCCAGTGACTGTGCATGAGGATTCTAATTTCTTTCCAACAATGTTTGTTTTTTAATAGTAGTCATCCTACTAGGTGTGAGGTGGTATCTCAAGGTGGTTTTAATGTGCATTGCTTTTATGATTAATGACACTGAATATATTTACTTGGTCTTTTGTGTATCATCTTTGGAGAAATGTCTATTCAAGTTCTTTGGCCTTTTAAAAAATTGAGTTATTTGTATTTGTCATCTCCATTATGGTTTTACTTCTTGCTTTCCAATCTGAATGCTTTTTGCTTCCTTTTCTTGCCTAATTACCTTGGCTATAGAACCTCTAGTACGGTGTTGAGTTGAAGTGGTTAAAGTGGATATCTGTCTTGTTCCTGATCTTAGGGGCAGGGGTACTTTCAGTGTCACCATTAAGTATGATACTATAATAGCTGTGAGTCTCATACAGATGCCTTTGTCTGGTGGAGAAAGTTTCCTTCTATTCCCAATCGTTTTGTTGTTTCAAATCATAAAAGGATGTTAGCTTTTGTCAAGTGTTTTTTCTGCAGGCAGGTGTAGTTTTTGTCCTTTATTAAAATGGTATAGGCTGGGCATGGTGGCTCACGCCTGTAATCCCAGCACTTTGGGAGGCCAAGGCAGGCGGATCACCTGAGGTCGGGAGTTCGAGACCAGCCTGACCAGCATGGAGAAACCATGTCTCTACTAAAAATACAAACAAATTAGCTGGGCGTGGTGACGCATGCCTGTAATCCCAGCTACTTGGGAGGCAGAGGCAGGAGAATTGCTTGAACCCGGGAGGCGGAGGTTGTGGTCAGCCAAGATCGTGCCATTTCACTCCAGCCTGGGCAACAAGAATGAAATTCCGACTCAAAAAAAAAATTAAAATTAAAAATAATAAAAATAAAATTATTGTTGGTTGATTTTCATAGAATGAACCATCCTTGTATTTTTTAAATAAATCCCACTTGGTCATGGTATGTAATCGTTATATATGTTGTTAGATTTTGTTTGCTAACATTTTGTTGAGGATTTTTGCCTCTGTAAGGGATATTGGCTGGGCACAGTGGCTCACGCCTGTAATCCCAGCACTTTGGGAGGCCAAGGCGAGCGGATCACGAGGTCAGGAGATTGAGACCATCCTGGCTAAAACAGTGAAACCCCGTCTCCACTAAAAAATACAAAAAAATTAGCTGGGCGTGATGGCGGGCTCCTGTAGTCCCAGCTACTCGGGAGGCTGAGGCAGGAGAATGGCCTGAACCTGGGAGGCGGAGCTTGTAGTGAGCCGAGATCACGCCACTGCACTCCAGCCTGGGCGACAGAGCGAGACCCCGTCTCCAAAAAAAAAAAAAAAAAAAAAGGATATTGGCCTGTAGTTTTCTTTTTTTTTATATGATTTCTTGGTTTGATTTTGGTGTAAGAGTAATAACTAGCCTCATAGAAAGATGTGCAAAGTTTTCTCTCCTCTTCTAATTTTTGGAAGAGTTAATGAAGGATTGGTGTTAATTCTTTTAAAAACGTTAAGAATTTACTAGCATAGCTATCTGATTTTGGGCTTTTATTTGGGGAAGTTTTTTGATTACTAATTCTATTGCTTGTTTTGGATCCATTCATATTTTCTGTTTGTTCTTGAGTCAGTTCATTAGTTCCTGTCTTTCTAGGAATTTGTTTCATCTAGGTTATCTAATTTGTTGACAGATAATTTTTCATAGTATTCCTTTATAATTCTCTTTATTTCTGTGTGGTTGGTAGTAATATACCCTCTTTATTTTTAAAAAATAATTCATTGAGGTGAAAGTCACATAACATCAGTCATTTTAAAATAAACAGTTTAGTGATATTTAGTGCATTTGTAATATTGTACGTGTGCTGCCTCTATCTAGTTCTGATACATTTCCATCATTCCAAAGTAAAACCCCTTTACCCATTAAGCAGTTTCTCACCATTTTCCCTTTCCTATCTTCTGGCAACCACAAATCTTTGTTTAATATCTATGGATTTATCTATTTCTGATATTTCCTGTAAATGAAATCATACAATATATGAGCTTTTGTCACTGACTTCTTTTACATGGTATATTTTCAGGGTTTACCCTGTTGTAGCATGTATCAGTATGTCGTTTCTTTTATGGCTGAATAAACATTCTGTTGTATGTATATACCATGGTTTGTTTATCCATTCATCCATTGATGGACATTTAGGTTGTTTCCACCTTTTGATTATTATGAGTTGTTGCTATAAACAAGTATACATGTACTTGAGTACCTTTATTTCTTTGAGTGTATACTTAGATTTGTGGGATCATAAGTCTATGTTTAACATTTTGAGGAACTGCCAAGCCATTTTGTAATAAAATCTTTTGAGTTTTACAAGCTTTCGTTAATTTCCAGGATCTGAAAAACGTGATTTTTGTAGTTTTTGCTAGTGTTCTCTTTGCTTTTATGAAGCAGCAGCTATTTGTAGGTCTTTATTCCACCATTCCCCTTAACTTCACCCTGTTGCTGGGCATTTAATAAGTTGACTTTGTTATGCCTTTTTTTAGTTGTCTTTTTTTGTGGTCCTCCACAACCCCTCTTTACATCATTCTTCAAGCCCTTTAAAAACTCAGCTTTAGTGAAGAAACTTGACTCTGAACTATCAGACCACTTTTAGTTTGAACTGCCACCCTGTCAAATCTCCTTTGTAACCTCCGCCTCCCGGGTTCAATTGATTCTCTTGCCTCAGCCTACCAAGTAGCTGGGATTACAGGCGCCCACCACCACTCCCGGCAAATTTTTGTGTTTTTAGTAGAGATGGAGTTTCACCATGTTGGTCAGGCTGGTCTCGAACTCCTGACCTCAGGTTATCTGCCTACCTCGGCCTCCCAAAGTGCTGGGATTACAGGTGTGAGCCACTGTGCCTGGCCTTTTTTTTTTTTTTTTTTTTTTTTTTTTTTTTTTTTTTTTAAAGATGGAGACCAAGATTCTGCTCATAGGAGGAAGGGAAGGAAAAGGGGAAAAATGACTGATTTTCTCTGTTGCTTAGGAGTAGATCCCAGGCTGGGCACGGTGCCTCACGCCTGTAATTCCAGTACTTTGGGAGCCTAAGGCGGGTGTATCACCTGAGGTTAGGAGTTTGAGAGCAGCATGACCAATATGATCAAACCCCGTCGCTACTAAAAATACAAAAATTAGATGGGCGTGGTAGCATGTGCCTGTAGTCCCAGCTACTTGGGAGGCCAAGACAGGAGAATTGCTTGAACCCAGGAGGTGGAGGTTGCAGTGAGCCGAGATCACGGCACTGCACTCCAGCCTGGGTGACAGAGCGAGACTCCCATCTCAAAAAAAAAAAAAAAAAGAGTAGATCCCACTCACTGTTATAGCCACACACAAATTTTTTTCAGGCATCAGTCCCACTTGAGTAACTTCTGTGATTAGATTTTAGGCCACCAGGACTCCTATGGTACCTATCCCCACCATCTTCCCTTGCCTATCACTTTCTTCACCCCACTGCTTCTTTCTCAAACTTGTCCCCCACCCCCACAAATAACTCTACACGTTTGCTATCTTAGAATTGAATGCCCATTAAACAGAGATCCTTGCAGTAAATGGGAGTTTTATAGGATCCTTAAAACTACAGCAAACATTTGTATTCCATCCCAGGGCAACTAAATAAAACAAAAATAACTTTTTCATAAATATTTTTTAATAAATACTTTTTCAAAAGTAAGCTGAGGATGGTAGAGGAGTGTAAAATAGGGTTGAAACTAGCCTGAGAGGCCAGGTACAGTGGCTCACGCCTGTAATCCCAGCACTTTTGGAGGCCAAGGTGGGTGGATCACTTGAGGTCAGGAGTTCGAGACCAGTGTGGACAACATGGGGAAACCCCATCTCTAATAAAAATACAAAAAATTAACCAGGCATGGTGGCGCACACCTATAGTCCCAGCTGCTCAGGAGGCTGAGGCACAAGCATCTCAGGAGAAGTTGCAGTGAGTTGAGATTGTGCCACTGCACTCCATCCTGGGTGACACAGCGAGACTCCATCTTAAAAAAAAAAAAAAAAAAAAAGGCCAGGCGCAGTGGCTCACGCCTGTAATCTCAGCATTTTGGGAGGCCGAGGTGGGTGGATAACCTGAGGTCAGGGGTTCGAGACCAGCCTGGCCAACATGGTGAAACTCCATCTCTACTAAAAATACAAAAATTCGCCAGGCATGGTGGTGGGCGCCTGTAATCCCAGCTACTTGGTAGGCTGAGGCAAGAGAATCAATTGAACCTGGGAGGCAGAGTTTGCAGTGAGCCAAGACTGTGCACAAGACTGTGCCACTGCACTCCAGCCTGGGCAACAAGAGCAAGACTCCGTCTCAATTAAAAAAAAAAAAAATCTAGCCTGAGAGTCTAGGAGGGGAGTAACTATTAAACCAAGGTCGTTCCTTATCAAAAGACATGACAGTTGCCACAGACTAAACTGAGAGAAAAATGAAGAATTTACAGATCCTTACTACTATTTCCACTCTTGCTACCTCTCTGACCTTTTATCCCCTTCAAGTGTATGTCCAAATTTACCTTCTCCATGAGACTTACTCTGACTACACTACGTAAAATTACAATTCTCTTATACCTCCTCAACTTCTAAGCCTGCTCTATTATTTTTTTCCTAATTCTATAACGTCATCTTCCAGTTCACCAGAGAATTTGCATTTTTATTATACTTACTATCTTTCTTCCTCCACTGGACTGTTTGTTAGTTCCTTCTGTTGAAATAGTTTGTTTTTGTTGTTCATTTCTGTCTGTTAATGTTTACCGATTTCTCTCAAGTGCCTAAAGCAGTGCCTGGCACACAATAAGCACTCAATATTCATTAATGGAAAAAGGTTATCTAGAAGTAGTCAGAAATCAATTCAAAAAGGTAGACTGAGGGAAAAAGTGGAAAATGTTCAAATGTGGGAAACAGCCAATTTTCTTCAAGTCTGGGAGCTCCTAAGGTGTACTGTTAGAGGAAATGTGACAGCCCCACAATCCTGGGGTTCAGAAGAAAAATATATATGGCCAGATCTCATCATAAGGACCAATAGTTTGGGGAAGCCTTTCCTCAGAAGAGTATGTGTGTGGTTAAAAACTCGTGTGTGGTTATAACAATGGTTTACTAGAGGCTGGGCACGGTGGCTCACGCCTGTAATCCCAGCACTTTGGGAGGCCGACGCAGGCAGATCACAAGGTCAGGAGTTTGAGACCAGCCTGGCCAACATGGTGAAACCCCATCTCTACTAAAAATACAAAAATTAGCCAGGCGTGGTGGCACGCACCTGTAATCCCAGCTCCTCAGGCAGGAAAACTGCTTGAACCCGGGAGGCAGAGATTGCAGTGGGCCGAGATTGCGCCACTGCATTCCAGCCTGGGTGACAGAGCAAGACTCCATCTCAAAAAAAACAAAAAACAATGATCTAGTAGAAGGGCCATTGTTTGAATGCATAGAAATAATCTGGAAGGTGGGTTATCATCCACTGATCTCTCAGCTTTCTTTGGAATTGAAGCCCTCCTATTGGCTTCTCCCATCATGGGAGGTGAGAATTGATTTTTGAGGACAAACCTGTTAGATCTGATATATCTTTGCATGTCTAACCTCCCTACCCCAGTATCTCAAGATTCTGGCAAATTGGAAAATAAGCATTCATTCATCCATTGGTGGACATTTGTAGAGAAGGGTCTCTGGACATCTAGAGGAGAAGAAAACTCTCATGGTCTAATGCTACTCTTGTTCTTAATGAACTTGTTCATTAACTTATTAGCTTTGTTCCTGATCCTTGCTCTATTCCTCTTTTTCACCTTGATTGATGGTTGGATGGAGGGTTAATCAGTATGGACAACAGCCAAAAATCTAACCAAGAGCAACTGGTTAGGAAGTCCAGCAGTGTCATTAGAACCCAGTTTAAGTTTTTCTTCTTTACTTGTTTGATGGTTTATTAACAACAGGAATTCATTTCTCACATTTTTAGGCTGGGAAGTTCAAGATCAAGATGCTGGACGATTTGGTTCCTTAGTGAAGGCTCTCTTCCTGGCTGGTGGATGACAGCCTTCTTGCTGTGTTCTCACATGACAGAAAGAGGAAGCAAGGTCTGTGATATCTCCTCTTATAAGGGCGCCAATCACATCATGAGGGCCCTATCCTCATGAATACATCTTAACCTGATTATTACCCAAAGCCACCATCTCTATATACCATCACATTGGGGGTTATAGCTTCAGTATACAAATTTGGGGGTGGGGGGAACACAGTTCAGCCCATAGCATAACACAAATTATGTATACCTAAAATATTCTCTAGAATTGGAGGAATCATTTAACGCTTAGGGATAGAAGAGTGATATAATTACAGTTGTGTTTTAAGATCCATCTTGTGGTGTTGTGTTATATAATTTGAAGGACAGAGAAAAGAGACAGAACAATTTAGGGTCTAGTACAAGTGTACAAAAATGAAGTAACCAGTGGACCTAAACCTAGAAGTTGCGGCCTGGGCTGGGGGCCATTAATAGGAATGGACATGAGAGGTAGAATGAGTGATGCTCTAAAAGTTATTTAAAATGGCTTATAAGGTACTTTGACATTTTCTGGGAGGTAGAGGAGGTTTGAACAGGTTTACAAAATAGAGAGTGAAAAAATGAATCCAATGAGACACTTTAATTCTTAAAGACTAAGCAGTTAACAGCAATATCATCAGAAATAAGTGTGCACTAAGTCAGTTTTAGCAGAAAGAGCACAAAACCAGAATTCAGGAATTAGGCATCTTAGTGCTAACTCTGTCTACAAACCCTCCATATAACTTTAGTAAATCATAAACTTCTGGGGGCTTTAAAAATTAATCTTCAGATTGGCCGGGCATGGTGGCTTACGCCTGTAATCCCAGCACTTTGGGAGGCCAAGGCAGGCAGACCATGAGGTCAGGAGATGAAGACCATCCTGGCCATCATGGTGAAACCCCGTCTCTACTAAAAATACAAAAATTAGCTGGGCGTGGTGGCGCACCTGTAATCCCAGCTACACGGGAGGCTGAGGCAGGAGAATAACTTGAACCTGGGAAGCAGAGGTTGCAGTGAGCCGAGATCGTGCCACTGCACTTCAGCCTGGGTGACAAAGCAAGACTCCGTCTTGAAAAAGAAAAAATAATAACAATAATAAACTAATTAATCTTCAGATAAATCTAATGGCCATGTTGTCAGATTATAGTCTGATTTTTTAGGATATTGGAGAATATTAATGATTGTGAATTAGAATATTTTCTTTTTTTTTTTTTGAGATGCAGTCTCGCACTGTCACCCGGACTGGAGTGCAGTGACGTGGTCTTGGCTTACTGCAACCTCCGCCTCCTGGATTCAAGCGATTCTCCTGCCTCAGCCTCCCAAGTAGCTGGGATTACAGGTGTCTACCACCAGGCCCAGCTAATTTTTTGTATTTTTAGTAGAGACAGGGTTTCACTATGTTGGCCAGGCTGGTCTCCAATTCCTAACCTTGTGATCCAACTGCCTTGGCCTCCCAAAGTGCTGGGATTACAGGCATGAGCCACCGTGCCCAGCCAGATATTTTCTTTAGAGAGGATGTTAGAAAATACATTTAGAATTATGTAGAAGGTAGTTACTGGAAATGTGGAAGTGATCCTGAGAAGATTGGATTTGGGCAGGAGTTTTCCCACAGGACATTTGGTAATTCCTGGAGCCATTTTTAGTTGCCACCCTGGGGGACTACTGCTGGTTTCTAGTGGGTAGAGATCACAGATGCTGCTAAACATCCTACAGTGCTCTCGACAGCCCCCAGCAAAGAATTATCTAGTCCCAAATGTCAGTAATGCTTAGGAAACACTGGGCTAGGTGACATCATCCTGGAGTTAGGCGATTGAAGTTGTATATAGACAGACTAAACCAATTTTAGTTGACTCCAGAGAGCAGTGTATTCATATCTGCCTTATATTTTTTCTGGCATTATATATCTACTGATTAAGTTGTAAATCACTATTCATGATACACCAGTTTGTATATAGTTGACAATGCTTACTTAATATTGTATTCCTTTTTAAATTCACTTCCAAGGTGATACACATATTTATAGGAATAAATATTGTCTATATGTTCCAAAATTAGATACTGATATCCTAATTAAAATTAAAACAAATGTGCATGGCATTTATTAGATGTCAATTTAATTTTTATGCTTTGGATTATGCTGATTTGAAGGGTCCACATGGGGATACAGTGAATCTTGATATGTTTTTAGAAATTGGTGAGTTATGAACCTTGGTTTCTAGTGCGTACATTTTGCTAGCATTAGACCAGTTTTTGAAACAACTAGTAGTGACCTAGTGATGAGGCTTAACTGATTTTGTGGGTCTGTGGTTAGTTTAAGAAAAATGAGGCTGGGCACAGCTCAGGCTTGTAATCCATGGCTCATGCTTGTAATCCCAGCACTTTGGGAGGCCGAGGCTGGTGAATCACAAGGTCAGGAGTTCAAGACCAGCCTGGCCAACACAGTGAAACTCCGTCTCTACTAAAAAATACAAAAATTAGCTGGGTGTGGTGGCATGTGCCTGTAATCCCAGCTACCCTGGAGGCTGAGTCAGGAGACTTGCTTGAACCCGGGAGGCAGAGGTTGCCGTGAGCTGAGATTGCGCCACTGTACTCCAGCCTGGGCGACAGAGCTAGACTCCGTCTCAAAAAAAAAAAAAAAAAAAGAAAAAAGACAAGAAAAATGAAATAGAAAATTTTAGAATGCAGCCTGTGTAGTAAAGGTAGTTATTATTTATGTGTATGTGCTTGTGTAATTGGACTCCATATAACTTTTTTTTTTTTAAACTATTGGTTGTGGTCAAATATTTGTAAAAAGCTAGCTTTAAGTCCTTTATTGGCCTACGGAATTTCCAATGGATAAAGTTCTCAGAGTAAATTCATAGAAAATGTGGAATTAATGGAGCATAATCTTCTTTAAAAATAAAGGATCTTATGAAGGAGAGTCGATATTTATTGATTCATTTAACAAATTCTGTATTTGTTGAGCACCTGTCCTGTGCCAGACACTGTTCTTTGTGCTGGGCATACAACAGTCAACAAAAGATAGAATACCTGCCCTTTTGAGTTTTATGTTCCACTGGATGGACAATAGAAAATAATCAAGATAAATAGGATCGTAATATGTTAAATGGTGATAGGGCTTTGGGGATGAAAGAAAAGGGAAAAGAGATTAGGAATGTGGGTTAGAGGTTGGTTGGAATATTTGAGAACCTCACCGAGAGGGATACTTGGAATAGAGCCCTAAGGGCAGTGAGGAGCTAGCCATGCGGATACCCAAATGATCATTCATATTGGAAGGAACAAGGGCTTTGAGCAAGGAAAAGAGCTTAGTATGTTCAAGAAATAGCAGGGAGGGCCAGGTGCAGTTCCTCACCCCTGTAATCCTAGCACTTTGGGAGGCCAAGGCACGTGGATCACCTGAGATAAGGAATTCAAGACCAGCCTGGTCAACATGGTGAAACCCGATCTCTACTGAAAATACAAAAATTAGCTGGGTGTGGTGGTGCATGCCTGTAGTCCCAGCTACTCAGGAGGCTGAGGCACAAGAATCACTTGAACCTGGAAGGTGGAGGTTGCAGTGAGCTGAAATATATACCTGGGTGATAGAGCGGGACTCCATCTCAAAAAAATAAAATTTAATTTAAAAAATTAAAATAAATAGCAAGGAGGTTAGTGTGACTACAGTGAAGTGGATAGTGGAGAGTAGTATGAGATAACTGCAGGAGCAGTATGTGGGGTTGGTAGTGTAGTCTTCTAGGCATTGGTAATACTTGGTCTTTTACTCTCAGTTAATCAGAAAGCCGTTTGAGGGTTTTGAGCTGAACAATGATACAGTCTGACTTTGTTTAACACAATCAATCTGCTTGCTATGTGGAGAAGAGATTGAGGAGGAAGCACTGTTGTGTTTAAGTTCAGTGGGTAAGTCAGAACTGGAGGGGAAAATTTAGGAGGCATTACTGAATGGATTATAATTAAGGCCATGAGTTGGGATGAGATTATCTGCCTGGCAATTGACATTGTGCTATGCTGTTTGTTGGTTATGTGTAGGTACTCTAACTCTATAAATTTAATACCTCTTTTCTATATTAATGTTTATGAGATTACTATATATGAATCAATTGAGATATTTTCATTTATTGTAATTTTCTTCCAATTCCACTACAAATCAAGCTGCCATTGAATAGGTGGTGCTTTTAAAAAACCAGCTATTACTGTAAGTCTAAGAAATAAGAATTTTTGCCTTTAAGATAGCAAAATACATTTAAAAGTAAAAAACTTGCTAAAGAGGAAGCATCTGGTGTGTGGCAGACTAAGGATTCCAGCTTACTCTTCAACTCCAAAGCCCATGTTTCTAAACACTGCACAATGATGCCCTCATAAAAATGTGTGTCTTTTCCATATAATTTTGCCTAGTGATTAGCTGCTGGTAGGTTTTTTTTTTTAAAATGGAATAGAGCACAATCAGTACAGCAAAGTTATGATTCTAGATTCATAGGAACCTGATCTTTTATCACAGGTTTTAAGCTGTTATTTATCCTCTTTCAGTCTCAGTGTCCTTGTGGGTAAAATAGTGGTTTATAAAAACAATGTTTTGGAGGAAAATTAAATAAGGTAATGCATTTTCCTGTACTTACTGATGTATGTTTGTACTTAGGTGGCAGTTTATATAAAGGAAGCATTGGGACTTGTGGCCCCACCATTCAGGAATAAAAAAATTAGAAAATGGAACAATCATGTGAGGAAGAGAAAGAGCCTGAACCACAGAAGAACATACAAGAAACCAAACAAGTAGATGACGAAGATGCTGAGCTCATCTTTGTTGGTGTGGAACATGTAAATGAAGATGCTGAGCTAATCTTTGTTGGGGTGACTTCAAATTCAAAACCAGTCGTTTCAAACATTTTGAACAGAGTCACCCCGGGTTCATGGTCAAGGAGAAAAAAGTATGATCACCTTAGAAAAGATACTGCTCGCAAATTGCAGCCTAAAAGTCATGAGACCGTTACATCAGAAGCAGTGACCGTCCTGCCAGCTTCCCAACTTGAATCGAGATCAACAGATAGTCCTATTATTATTGAGCCTTTGTCTAAACCTGATTATAGAAATAGTTCACCACAAGTTGTGCCTAATAACTCTTCAGAATTACCTTCTCCTTTGATTACATTCACAGATTCATTGCATCATCCAGTAAGTACAGCACTTTCAGTAGGAGGTATAAATGAAAGTCCTCGTGTATCAAAGCAACTTTCCACTTTCGAAGTAAACAGCATAAATCCCAAAAGGGCTAAACTCAGGGATGGAATTATAGAAGGAAATTCTTCAGCTTCATTCCCTTCAGATACCTTTCATACAATGAATACTCAGCAAAGTACACCCTCAAATAATGTTCATACCTCATTAAGCCATGTTCAGAATGGAGCACCTTTTCCAGCAGCTTTTCCAAAGGACAATATCCATTTCAAGCCTATAAATACAAATCTTGATAGGGCAAATGAATTGGCAAAAACAGACATTTTGAGTCTAACAAGTCAAAACAAGACCTTTGATCCCAAGAAAGAAAATCCCATTGTGTTACTTAGTGACTTTTACTATGGACAGCATAAAGGAGAAGGGCAGCCGGAACAGAAGACTCACACCACCTTTAAATGCCTCAGCTGCGTGAAAGTTCTAAAAAATGTTAAGTTTATGAATCACGTGAAGCATCATTTGGAATTTGAGAAGCAGAGGAACGACAGCTGGGAAAACCACACCACCTGCCAGCACTGCCACCGGCAGTTTCCCACTCCCTTCCAGCTACAGTGTCACATCGAAAATGTCCACACTGCCCAGGAGCCCTCTACTGTCTGTAAAATCTGTGAATTGTCATTTGAAACAGATCAGGTCCTCTTACAACACATGAAGGACCATCATAAGCCTGGCGAAATGCCCTATGTGTGCCAGGTTTGCCATTATAGATCGTCGGTCTTTGCTGATGTAGAAACACATTTTAGAACGTGCCATGAAAACACAAAGAATTTGCTTTGTCCCTTTTGTCTCAAAATTTTCAAAACAGCAACACCATACATGTGTCATTATAGGGGCCACTGGGGAAAGAGTGCACACCAGTGTTCCAAGTGCCGGCTACAGTTTTTAACTTTCAAGGAGAAAATGGAGCACAAGACCCAGTGTCATCAAATGTTTAAGAAGCCTAAGCAACTAGAAGGATTACCTCCTGAAACAAAAGTTACTATTCAAGTGTCGCTGGAACCTCTTCAGCCAGGATCAGTGGATGTAGCATCCATAACTGTGAGCACATCTGACTCTGAACCATCACTCCCCAGGTCTAAAAGCAAAATTTCAAAAAAGTCCCATTAATTCTAGTTTCAGTAAATCTAAAGCAAGTATTTCAAACCAAATTAAAAAACCTCATAAAACAAAAAATACAAACCATACATTATTCAGTAGCACCAAAAATAGTGAAACTAGTGGATTATATATGACTTTTTAAACAAGATTCAGGATATATATTATTTGATCTGAATTTTGAGGTATTATTTTAAAACATCTGGTTTTCATGTTAACTGTATCTGGCTTAACACATAAAAGGTGTTTGTGTGTGTGTGTGAGAGAGAGAAAAAGGTATTAATTTATTTTTTTAATTTTAATTTTTTTTTTTTTTTTTTTTTTTTTTTTTACTTTAGAGACAGGGTCTCACTGTTACCCAGGCTGGAGTGCAGTGGCGTGATCCTAGCTCACTGCAACCTTGAACTTCCAGGCTCAAGCATTCCTCCGCCTCAGCCTTTGGAGAGTAGCTAGGACTACAGGCGCAGCCACCACACCCAGCTAATTTTTTATTTTAATTTTTTGTAGCGATGGAATCTTGTTATGTCGCCCAGGGTGGTCTCGAACTCCTGACCTTAGGGGAGCCTCCTGCCTCAGCCTCCCCAAGTGCTGGGTTGTGTGAGTCACTGCCCCTGGCACCTATTTATTGTTTTGGTATTTCATGTTACTCCTAAGCTTGAAAGCTCTTTTTTCTATATACAGAATTCATAGAATTTTTGAAATACTTAGTTTTCTTTACAGCTTTTTCCATGCATTCAGCATTTCATGGTTAACTCTAGTCAGACTGGAATGGCTTTGTTATGCCCTGGCCCACTTGCTGCCGAATTCCCAGAAGTGCCTCTGCTGTGCTGGCATAAAATAACCTGAAAAGATTCTGAAAAGCCAGGATGTGGAATTGAAAGAGAAGCTGCTGCGTGAGCAGAGACCAAGAAGGCGGAGGTTAGTTGAGGGAGAGCAGTGGTTCTTTGTTCTAGTTGAAGTATAGGCACACATTCATTCTAGTCTTGGGGCCAGGTCAAAAGGAACACTGCTTCAGAGTGTCTTTACCTACCTGAAAACATCCAAGGAAGCCAAACCATTCAAAGTAAAATGCTTTTGTTTGGTGAAGGGCCCCTGCAGACATCAAACAGCCGTCATGTATCATTGGTTTGAGGTGAAATAGCAATAAAATTAATAGAATGGTGCCTGGTACTAGCTGACTTCCTGTTCTGTGATCTAAAGGTGAATTTGATTCATTCCCTCTCCTCTCCCTTCTGGCTAGCCGTTAGTGGAGAATGAACTGGCCATATTCTCAGCCACAGCTGTAAAGCAAGTTTCCCAAGGGGAAGAAGCCCTAATATCTATAATTTGAACTGTACTGGACCCATAGTTTTAACTGAAAAGGGCCAAACAAGTGGTGTCTGTCCAGTTCCTGGACTGGGCTAAATTTAGTTTTCCCACTGTTAAGCTGGAATGAGGACTGTCCCAACAACAGTAGGTACAGTGGACAAAAATAGCCCAGGGTGACTGACTGAATTTAAACCCATAATGGCTTTATATTTTTCTGTGCATATATATCTTACCCTAATTGAACATGTGAAGCTTGCAACTTTATGTCTTGCTTTGGACATGAATGTATTACAGCTTGCAGCTATTCTGTTAAATGTATAGTTTCCCAGTTTTTTGACACTAATGCTGTTTGGGTCTTACCTGACACACACCAGTGTGCAAGAAATGTCTCTCTAATTCAATAAGTTTTAAGACTTAGAGTTAATGTCCTTCATCTGATCTATCCTATCTAATCTGTACTATGGGTGAATCTTTTTCCCTTGCTCTCCCCAGGGGCTGTTTCACAGTATTCTGGAGTACCTTTTGAGTATTGGTTCCTGAACATCAGCAGTCTTGGCTGCCTCTGTGGACTCCCGGAGTTGTCTCCCTGCTTGTGTTCTGGTGCCATCCTTTGTTCCTCCACCCCTGACCAAGGTGCCCAGCAGCCTGTCTTCACCAGTCAAGGAATCCGCCATCTTGGCTGTAGACATACATAGGTCTGGAGAAATCTCTCCCTTTTTCCTTGATTTCTTTTTAAAGGTACCTTATCTCTCCCCACTCCTTTCTTCCCTCCTCAATCTAGTTAAATTTCCTAAGCTTTCACAAAAATCCGGGAAGAGATAATTAAGAGCTTAGCATCCCTCTTAGAGTAGAAGGCAGTACAGATAACAAAGAAGTTGTGAGTATATTATCTACATTTTAGAAAATTTTCTGACTCTAGATCCATAGATTCTGTTGTATTTATTTGCCGGACACTCATTTGATTGATTTGCACCTTGAACACTATACTAGGTCTTTTCAGTTACGTTGCTTGGGTTAAGACACTTTGCTAAAATTACAGCCTGAATCCTTTCTTTAGTTGAAGAAAGGGTATGTGTGTGCAAGTGGGTGTGTGTGTGCCAGTTTTTCTTGTCTCAGGTAGATACTCCCACTGTGTATAAATAGATCTACAGACTTTTCATACTTACCTCCCGTATTCTGTTTCTGTGGTAAAAATATGAAGTGTTTTAGTTGTATGTTGAGTGATTGGTTGGTATTATCAACACTGTTGTTTGCAGTCTCATTAAAGCATGCTCTTAAGGAGTACATATGGTCATTAATTGCCAACTGTAGATTCCAGTGATCTGGCCCCTGCCTACCTCCTTCCTCTCTTTTTCATTCTCTGTCATGCTTCTCCACTGTTTTCCCCAATGATGCACTATTTTGACACACTGGCCTTGCTATTCCTTAAGCAAATCACATTCTTCCCAATCCAAAGACTTTGCACATGCTGTTGTCTTTCTTAGAATGCCCTTCCCCTAGGCCTGCATGGCTTGCTACCTCACTTAATTGTTTGACACTTCCTTTGGTTCATTGAGCTTCAAGGCTCTTAAAATGCCACTGACAATGAGATCTCCCTTTAAAAAAAAAAAAAAACTTCTACTTTTCCTCTTAAAGGCACTTTACTCTCTCCCCACTCTTTTCTTCCTCTTCAAAGTATTTAAATTTCCTAGGTTTTCATGAAAAAGCTGGAAAGCGATCATCATCAAGGGCTTTGCTTCTGTCTTAGAATTGAGCTAGCTTGAGTCAATTTCTGTGCCTGCAACCAAATGAAAATTAATATAGTGAGTTCTTTCAGGAGCTTTCTCTGTTTTTCTATTGATACCTCTATATATTTTTAAGGCAATGTCACTTTGTTTTGTTTACAAATATATTGAATATGTCAAGATTACTATTTTGTTATTGCCCTTTGTGAATTTCCTTGTCTATTTTGCTCGCTTGTTCTTTCAGGTGAAATTTATTATTTTATTAATGTTGCCAAAAATTATAAGTAAAATATCAATTATAGTAATAAAATGTTTTGTGAAAAAAATGCTGTTGCTGTATTGTTTTTCCACCATAAGTAAAATGGGACGTTTGTTTTGTTTTTTGAGACAGAGTCTCGCTCTGTGACCCAGGCTGGAGTATAGTGGCGCGATCCCAGGTCACTGCAATGTCCACCCCCTGAGTTCAAGTGATTCTTCCTAGCAGCTGGTACTATGGGCGTGTGCCACCATGCCCAGCTAATTTTTGTACTTTTCGTAGAGACGAGGTTTCATCGTGTTGGCCAGGCTGGTCTTGAACTCCTAGCCTCAAGTGATCCGCCCACGTTGGTCTCCCAAAGTGCCGGGATTACAGGAGTGAGCCACCATGCCTGGCCTATTTTTAGTTTGTAATTTTTATTTAGTACCACTGTATAATCTTTGCCTTTTTGCCACTTGTGTTCATTTTTAGCCTTATTGCTACCACCAGAACTTTTTTTTTTTTTGAGACAGAGTCTCGCTCTGTCAGCTAGGCTGGAGTGCAGTGGCCCCTGATCTCGGCTCACTGCAAACTCTGCCTCCCGGGTTCACGCCATTCTCCTGCCTCAGCCTCCCAAGTAGCCGGGACTACAGGCGCCCGCCACCACGCCCGGCTAATTTTTTATATTTTTTTTAGAAGAGACGGGGTTTCACCATGTTAGCCAGGATGGTCTCGATCTCCTGACCTCATGATCCACCTGCCTCGGCCTCCCAAAGTGCTGGGATTACAGGCGTGAGCCACCGTGCCCGGCACTACAGCCAGAACTTCTAAACAATATTTAAGATGGAGTTAATGGGCTTCTTTGTTCTTGGCTTTAATAAGAAATGATTTGCCCTTAAAGGTAATAAGTATATTGCTTAAATAATTTCTATTTCCATTTTTGGGGCCAGGTGTGGTGGCGCATGCTTGTAATCTCTGCACTTTGGGAGGCCAAAGCGGGTGGATCACCTGAGGTCAGGAGTTTGTGACCAGCCTAACACGGTGAAACCCCCTCTCTACTAAATACAAAAAAGTTAGCCAGGCATGGTGGCGCATGCCTGTTATCCGAGCTACTTGGGAGGCTGAGACAGAAGAATCGCTTGTACCTGGGAGGCGGAGGTTGCATCCAGCCTGGGAAACAAGCGAAGCTCTATCTCAAAAAAAAAAAGTTTCTATTTCTATTTTTTAGAATCTTTAAAGAGAATTATTTAGTTTTATAATTTACAACATCTATTAAGACAATCATTTTCTTTACTAACCCAAGTTTTTACTTGGTTGCACTTACAGCTTTCTTGTTAGAAACCTTCCTTTCCTGAAGCAAAAGTAGTTCTATTTGGGATAGGATATGGTTTTAACTACTCGGAATCCCACTTCCTTTCTCATTTCTAATATTAAAGTGTATTTCCTCTTCCTGTCATTAATTCGTCCTGGTTTTATCAATGTTTCTGATTTACTTTTTCCAAGAAGCAACCCCCCATTTGCTTTAGTTTTGTTTTCTCTATTTTTGTTTTTATTCATTATATCTCATTCGCTTTCTTTAGCATTGTTTTTTGTGAGGGTTTTTTTTTTTTTTTTTTTTTTTTTTTTTTTTTTTTTTTTTTTTTTTTTGGGGAGAGACAGGGTTCTGCTATGTTGCCCAGGCTGGTCTCGAACTCCTGGGCTTAAACAGTCCTCCTGCCCTGGCCTCCCAAAGTGTTGGGATTGCAAGTGTGTGCCACTATGCCTAACCTATTTTTTAATTTTCTTTAACAAAGGATTCAAACCAGCTGGGCGTGGTGGCTCATGTCTGTAATCCCAGCACTTTGGGAGGCAGAGGTGGGTGGATCATATGTGGTCAAGAGTTCGAGCCTGGCCAAGATGGTGAAAACCCGTCTCTACTAAAAATACAAAAATTAGCCAGGCGTAGTGGCGGGCACCTGTAATCCCAGCTACTGGGGAGGCTGAGGCAGGAGAATCACTTGAACCTGGGAGGTGGAGGTTGCAGTGAGCTGAGATTGCACCATTGCACTCCATCCAGTCTGGGAAACGAGTGAAACTGCGTCTCAAAAAAAAAAAATTAAGACGTGGTGGTGCACACCTGTAGTCTGACCAGCTACTTGAGAGGATGGGGCGGGAGGGCTTGAGTCCAGGAGGTCTGCAGTGAGTTATGATTGTACCACTAGGTGACAAGAGATGCTGCCTCAAAAACAAACAAAAAACCCAAAACTTGGAAACCAAACTGAAAGTCAAATTATTAAATATATACCTACTACAAACAGTATTCAGTTATCAAAAGTAGTGATTATAGGAGCTATTGCAGTACACAATTTTATTTGGCTATAATGCAAAATAAGAAAGGAACATACAAAGTTATATGTACTTTGCAATTGTAATTATTCATGATAACATCTATGGAAAAGAATGATAAATTCTAAATACAATTGAGTTTACTTAATCCCATAGTGATTTTTATTCTTTCAAATGCTGGTATGGTGGCTCACAACTGTAATCTCAACACTTTGGGAGGCCAAAGCAGGCGGATCACTTGAGGCCAGGAGTTCCAGACCAGCCTGGCCAACATGGTGAAACCCCGTCTCTACTAAAAATAGAAAAACTGGCTGGGCATGGTGGTGTGTGCCTGTAATCCCAGCTACTCGGGAGGCTGAGGCAGGAGAATCGCTTGAACCCAGGAGGTGGAAGGTGGAGGCTTAGCCGAGATCACCCTGCTGCGCTCCAACCTGGGCAATGGAGCGAGACTCTCTCAAAAAAATGTTATATAAGTGAGTTATTTTGTCTTTTAAAAGCATTCATCATATAAATAAAGTAAATTCCATTTCAGTGGTTAGCCCTTTTAGACTCTTTCCTTCCCGGTTATGAGATTGAAATTAGAACAATTATCAATGTGTGGCAAGACTGCCACTAAGACACAAGTCTTTCTTAGCTTTAGGGCAAGCATTGGCAAACTGTGGCTTTTAGGCTAAGTTTAAATTTTCAAAACATTGTTAGAGCCAGAGACCCATATACACCCAGCAAAGCCTAAAATATTTACTACCTGACACTTTATAGAAAAAAGTTTGCTGACCCCTGCTCTAGTTATAACTTAGACTCATTTGTATCTTCCCCTGTATTCATGTATGTGGGCTAATGGCTTAGAACTTTGGATGTGAATGGGATGGGGTTATTCCTTGATCCTATCCAGGGATTGATAGAATCCAAAACAGTAGAAAGAGGCACAATGTCAGAAATGACAGAAAAGCTGTCTGAGGGATGTGTGCATGGGTGTGTATAAACATACACATCGAAACCTTAGTACCATTTTTCCATGTTTTTTGATGGGTGGGATTGTGTGCTTTGCAAACAGGGAAGGGAATGTGTTATCTGTTGCTGCATAACAGGTTACCACAAAACTAACAGCTTAAACATTAACTCACATAGTCTCTGAGTGTCAGGAATCCTGGAACAGTTTAGTGTCAGATCCTACAGGTTAGGGTCTCGGTCCTCCAGACTTCCCCCCATACCCCCAGACACCACTCCCAAGTCTGGGTATACTGAACTTCTGACTGACTGACTTCAAGTTGGGGTTCTCACAACCCCCTCTTTGGATTTCATTAATTTGCCACAATAGCTCACAGAACTTGAGGAAACACGTTTACAGGTTTATTATAAAGGATATTACAAAAGATACAGATGAAGAGACACACAGGGCAAGGTGTGTGGAAAGAGGTATGGAGCTTCCATGGCTTCCCTGAGTGCGCCAACCTCCAAGAACCTCCAAGTGTTGTTCAGCTAACTGGAAGCTCCCTGAACCCAGTCTTCTTGGGTTTTTATGGAAGCTTCATGACTTAAGCATTCTCTCCCGCTAGAGTATAGGGCAGGATTCTCTCTTGGGAGGGTCTTAGAACCCACAATCAGAAAGATTAGAGTCCTGCCTTGGGGCAGGTAAAAGGATGGCAGAAGGTCAGAAGCCTACCTCTGAGGCCTAACACCGAACATTATAACAAAAGACTGTAACAAGGGCTGTGGGAGTTATGAACTGTGGACAAAACCAATGTATATTATAACACCACAAGAGCATAGCATACACAGCATAGAGATGCTGGTCAATGGGATGATTTATGTCCTGAATGGAACTCAGAGCCACTGCACTAGATTTCATCACACTAACCAGAATGGCATGCAATTTAAAACCTAAGAATTGTTGGCTGAGTGTGGTGGCTCACGCCTCTAATCCCAGCACTTTGGGAGGCTGAGGCAGATAGATCATTTGAGGTCAGGAGTTTGAGAACAGCCTGGCCAACATAGTGAAACCCCATCTCTACTTAAATACAAAAGTTAGTTGGGTGTGGTGGTGGGCACTTGTAATCCCAGCTACTCAATACACTGAGGTAGGAGGATTGCTTGAGGCCGAGGAGCAGAGGTTGCAGTGAACCGAGATCACGCCACTGCACTCCAGCCTGAAGGACAGAGCAAGACCCTGTCATTAAATAAATAAATAAATAAACTAAAACCTATGAATTGTTTATTTCTGGAATTTTCCGTTTAATATTTTTGGACCACAATTGACTGTGGGTAACTGAAACCATGGAAAGTAAAACCACAGATAAAGGGGACTACTGTACTCTGAAGCATCATTTTTGATCTTTCAGAGCCTTAAAGGATTTTACCCTCTGACTGGGTGCAGTGGCTCACACTTGTAATCCAAGGCTGGTGGATCACCTGAGGTCAGGAGTTCAAGACCAGCCTGGCCAACATGGTGAAACTCCGTCTCTACTAAAAAAAAAAAAAAAAAAAAAAAAAAAAAAATTTGCTGGGCATGGTGGCCTGCACCTGTAACTCCAGCTACTCGGGAGGCCGAGGCAGGAGAATCACTTGAACCTGGGAGGCAGAGGTTGCCGTGAGCTGAGATCAAGCCGTTACACTCCAGCCTGGGTGAAACTCTGTCTCAAAGAAAAAGTAAAAAGGATTTTTACCCTCATCTTTCATATTTCTGCACCTTTCTTTAGTGCCCTGGATATAACCTTTGCTTGGGAGCAGTTAATTTTAGCATCTTTTGCCATCTGGAAAGACTGGGAATTTTCAAAACCAGCAGGTACTGGCTCTTGGCTCTTTTTTGTTTAACACTTCTTCCCTTAGCTTGTTTCTGTCCCCTCAGATTTTACTATAAGTAGCAAGAAGAAACCAATCAGCACTTTCAGCATTCTGGCTGGAAATCTCAATTAGATGACTCAGGTACATTTTCTACTTTCACCTGACTAGGTGATAGTCACTAAACTTTCTGCCACTACGTAACTACGTAACCCCTTGCTCAATTTTCTAATAACATGTTCCTCACTTCATTTTAAGCTACACCAGAGCCTTCTCAGAGTCCAGTTTTCTACTAAGGCTTGCACTGACAATCTCCTTGAAGATTTTTTAGCTTCTGCCCACTGCCCAGTTTCAAAGCCACTCCTACATTTTAGGTATTACACCAGCACCTCCCTTCCAGGTACTAAAATCTGTATTAGTTACCTATTGCTGTATAATATATTACTGCAAACTTATCAACTAAAACCACCACTATTTGTTATCTCATGGTTTCCGAGGGTCAGGAATTTGGGGTCACTTAACTGAGTGGTGCTGTCTCAGCTTCTTTCATGAGGTTGCAGTTAAGATGTTGACTGGGGCCATATCATGTGAAAGGCTTGACTAGGGCTTTCAAACTCACTTGGGTATTGGCAGGAGGCCTCCCTCTGTTCCTTGTCATATGGTCCTCATGACATGTCAGCTGGCTTCCTACAGAATGAGTGATCCAAAAGAGAACAAGGAAGGCATTGCAATGTTTTTTATAATAGCCTTGGAGGTAAAATAACTTCACTCTGTTGTATACTCTTGGTCACCCAGAGCAACCCTGATGCTATGTGGGAATGGACCATATACAGATAGGAATACCAGAGGGTGGGGAATCACTGGAGGCCATCTTGGAAGTTACCACAGGGAAAATGGAACATTAGAAGTTTTTATGATACAAGGAAGGCAGCTAAAACTGAGTTAATGGTCATTGTGTTGCCTTCCCACTCTCTGGTGTGCCATTGTGGCTGACACCATTTTGAGAGGATTCTTTTTAAAGTTCATTTATTTTAAAATGTTGAGTATATAATATATTCACATTCTTCAAACATCGAAAAAGTAACAACTCAGATTCTTTTTTTAGCCTTTCAGATAGTTTCTTATTTTTTCTTTTCTTTTTTTTAAATAACTGATTTATATTATGCACAGTCTTCTGCACCTTGCTTTTTTTATTTGACGGTGTAACATGTTCACATTTTATGGCATATAAACAGGAAAATTATAGCCTGAGATTATGAAAGGGCTAATTAAAAATATTTCTGAAGTGTTTCCAAAGATTACTAAGAAAAATCGGGGGCCGGGTGTGTTGGCTCACGCCTGTAATTCCAACACTTTGGGAGGCCAAGGTGGGCAGATCACAAGGTCAGGAGTTCGAGACCAGCCTGGCCAATGTGGTGAAACCCCATCTCTACTAAAAATACAAAAATTAGCTGGGCATGATGGTGGTGGGCACCTGTAATCCCAGCTACTTGGGAGGCTGAGGCAGGAGAATTATTTGAACCCAGCAGGTGGAGGTTGCAGTGAGCTGAGATCGCACCATTGCACTCCAGCCTGGGTGACAGGGCCAGACTCCATCTCAAAAAAAAAAAGATTACTAAGACAAATCTCTAATGCACTATTATAAAATTGTTGTAAAGAAAAAAATCCCTGTCCATTTCACAAAGAATAAATATAGCTGATTGGTAAATAAATGCAAAATATTTAGTCTCCATAGCAAAAACAAAAATGGGAATTAAAGCAATGGTAGCGTACTGATGAATATTATATAAATTGTAATGTTTACTGTCAGTGAGGATGTATTAAAAGGAGTTTCAATTGGCATAAGCCTTTTTGGAAGTTATTTCAATATATGAATAAAAAGGTAATAATTTCATTTTTTTCATAGGATGCTTTTTTTTTTTTTTTTTGAGACAAAGTCTCACTCTGCTGCCCAGGCTGGAGTTCAATGGCGCAATCTCGGCTCACTGCAACCTCTGCCTCCAGGGGTCAAGCAGTTCTCCTGCCTCAGCCTCCCAAGTAGCTGGGACTACAGGCACCTGCCACCATGCCCGGCTAATTTTTTGTATTTTTAGTAGAGACAGGGTTTCACCATGTAGGCCGGGCTGGTCTCAAACTCCTGACTTCAGGTGATCCACCTGCCTTGGCCTCCCAAAATGCTGGGATTACAGGCGTGAGCCACTGCTGGCCTCATGGGATGCTTTTAACATATCCAATAAAAATTTACAGAATGAATGTTTATGTATATATCCAAAATTGAGTATGTAAGATAATTCATCAATACTTTGGTTGTACTAATGTAAATGTAAAGTAGAAATAATTTTTTTTTTTTTTTTTAGTTAGAGACAGGGTATCTCCATGTTGGTCAGGCTAGTCTCAAACTCCTGATCTCAGGTGATGTGCCCACCTCGGCCTCCCAAAGTGCTGGGATTACAGGCATGAGCCACCAGGCCTGGCCAGAAATAATTTTAAATGCCTGGAAACTGAACAGTTTTGTACTTTTCATTTAATAGCTGCACAATCTACTTTTTTTGTTGTTTTTCGTTATTGTTGTTTTGGTTTGGTTTTTTTTTGAGGCGGAGCCTCACTCACTCTGTCGCCCAGGCTGGAGTGCAGTGGCACTATTTCGGCTCACGGCAACCTCCGCCTCCTGCGGTCAAGAGATTCTCCTGCCTCAGCCTCCTGAGGAGCTGGGATTACAGCCGCGGGCCCCCACGCCCGGCTAATTATTTTTTTGTAATTTTAGTAGAGATGGGGTTTCACCACATTGCCCAGGCTGGTCTCAAACTCATTGGCCCCAAGTGGTCAGCCGCCTCTGCCTCCCAAAGTGCTGGGATTACAGGCATGAACCACCGTGCCTGGCTGAAATAGCTGCACTATATACTTTTTTTAAAAGAGATAGATTGCAGTAATGTGAAAGAAAACTAGCAGGAAAAAAATTTGTATACATTGTGATCTGAACTATGGAGAAAATATGTGAAAGAACAGCCAGGCGCGGCGGTTCACACCTGTAATCCCAGCACTTTGGGAGGCCGAGGCGGGGCAAATCACTTGAGCTCAGGAGTTCCAGACCAGCCTGGCCAACGTGGAGAAACACCGTCTCTACTAAAAATACAAAAATTAGCAGGCGTGGTGGCAGATGCCCGTACTCCCAGCTGCTCGGGAGGCTGAGGCAGGAGAATTGCTTGACCCCCCCAGGAGGCAGAGATTGCAGTGAGCCAAGATTGCACCACTGCACTCCAGCCTGGGTGACAGAGTGAGACTCTGTCTCAAAAAAAAAAAAAAAAAAAAAAAAAGAAGAAGTAGGAGAAGAGACTAAAATTGTAACATCTAACTTCTGAACTATTTGGTCTTTACGGCGTAGTTAAATATGCTCCTTGAAACAAATACTTCTAGGTCGGGCATGGTGGCTCACGCCTGTAATTCCGGAATTTTAGGAGGCTGAGGAGGAAGGATAGCTTGAGCCCAGAAGTTCAAGACCAGCCTGGGCAACACAGGGGGATCCAGGCTGTACAGAAAATAAATAAATTAGCCAAGTGTGGTGGTACACACCTATGTTCCCAGCCACTTGGGAGATTGAGGTAGGGGAGGATAGCTTGAACCTGGGAGGTCAAGCCTGCAATAAGCAGTGATTGTGCCACTGCACTCCAGCCTGAATGACAGAGCAGGACCACATCATTAAAAAAAAAAAAAAAAAAAAAAAAGCCAGATTTTATGTAGTAAACTTGCATTGTTTTGAAAAATTTTTTAGGCCAGGCGCGTTGGCTCATGCCTGTAATCCCAGCACTTTGGGAGGCCGAGGCGGGCGGATCACGAGGTCAGGAGTTTGAGACCAGCCTGACCAACATGGTGAAACCCTGTCTCTACTAAAAATACAAAAATTAGCCGGGCGTTGTGGCGGCTGCCTGTAATCCCAGCTACTAGGAGGTTGTAATCCCTAGGAGGTTGAGGCAGGAGAATCACTTGAACCCAGGAGGTGGAGGTTGCAGTGAGCCAAGATCGTGCCATTGCACTCCAGCCTAGGTGACAGAGCAAGACTCCATCTCAAAAAAAAAAAAAAAAAGAAAAATTTTTTATATAAAATAAGGAGCTTGTTTTCTTTGCTATTATCAGTCAGAATTACATCATAGAGAGATTTTTTTTTTGAAAAAATATTTGACCATAAACTCTTCATCTAGTATACCTCTTATTGTTCCCTATGGATTGGAAAAATATTTGCATTCTATTTTTCCTAGACCCACTTTCTCCCAAAAGAAGGCAGAAGAATCATTCTAAAGGCTGATCTGAAATCTCTGTGAACCTGGGCAGTGACTGAGTGAGGAGGAGGAGAGGAGTCTAGACCACGGTGCTGAAGTTCCAAGGGCCCACTGGCCTCACAGCTAGTGTTGGACTCTCTAATGGCTCTTTTATGCCCTCCTCACCTCTTGCATAAAGGTTAGGTATTTGTGGGACACATTATGCAAATCTGAGCCTTTTATCTCTCCCTCCTCCTCCTATTCTGGTCTTTGTCCCAGGGAGCAACTCCCTGTCATGGGGAGGCCTAGGTGGCTGTGAGATCTGGCTTTGCCCTGTGGGAGGGAACAGCTGCTGTAACCTCTTGCAGGGCCTATGAGCAAGTGTCCAGGGTACCTAAAATATGAACAACCTGAACGTCAGGCTTCAGAGAGGATCCACGGCACCTTGCTGTGGTTTCCTGGGGTGGAGGATTGTAGTACCCCTCTCATTCATTTAACTTTTTTTGACATTTCTACTGTATTTCCTAGGCAAGCCCACATTCATTGTTTGTCTCTTTGTTCAGTCCTTTTTGTAGTTATTGTTGAAAATCCACTGCATTGTCTGTATTTCATTTCAGTGTTATCCGTCTTGTTTATCTGAGTGTTTTGAATGACTAAAGAAGTTATATTCATGACCATCTGATTTGAAGTTATTTACTTTGAACCTCATGCTGAATAAACTGCTTGCTTAAGATGAGAATTATTTAAATAATTTACTTTAGAGTATCTTATTTTATTTTAGTTTTTTAGACGGAGTCTCCCTCTGTTGCCCAGGTTGGAGTGCAGTGGTGCAATCTCAGCTCACTGCAACCTCTGCCTCCTGGGTTCAGTGATTCTCCAGCCTCAGCCTTCTGAGTAGCTGGGATTACAGGCGCCCGCCGCCACCCCGACTAATGTTTTTTTTTTCTTTTTTTTTTGAGATGGAGTCTCGCCCTGTTTCCCAGGCTGGAGTGCAATGGTGTGATCTCAGCTCACTGCAACCTCTACCTCCCGGGTTCAAGCGATTCTCCTGCCTCGGCCTCCTGAGTAGCTGGGATTACAGGCATTCGCCACCACGCCCAACTAATTTTTTGTATCTTTAGTAGAGATGGGGTTTCACCATGTTGGTCAGGGTGGTCTGTAACTCCTGACTTTGTGATCCACCCACTTCGGCCTCCCAAAGTGCTGGGATTACAGGTGTGAGCCACTGCACCCAGCCTAGACTACTTTAAATAGAAAATACAGACACATAACCAAAGACTGACTATGCTAGTCCAGCACAGACATTAGGCTCTGAGAGACCAAGACAGGGAAGGGAAATCTGGAGCATTTCAAAATGGAGAGGCACAAACTATCTCTGTTCTGACTTAAGACAACAGCAGCCCCTCCTAAAGGTGCTCATCGACAGGAGCCATCAGAGCTTTTGATGAGGTTTCCTGTAGGCTCTGCACCTCAGGAGCTTTTGCTCTGTGCGTATGTGTGTAAGGTCCTAGTTTGTGGATTACTCTATTATCTATTATTTTAATAAAAGACATCTAGAGTGTACTACTGTCGGTAGATCAGTTGGCCACGTCAGGGTTCATCTACAGGGTGAAAAGGGTACCCTAGAAAGGATGTATCCGCCTTTATGCACTTTGGGGGGATTTCAACTTAAGTACAAAGCAGGAAAAGCCTTACTTTGTGACTGGAAACATCTGTGAGGTGACTCCTATATTATTATAATTTATTACTATTATTTTCATTTAATTTGTAGCCATAGTTCTATGGTAAATAAAATCTGTACAAAATTTTGCATACTTGTGTTGAACCAGATATTTAAGTTTAGGAATTTTTACAAAGTAAATGACTTGCTGTATGAATAGATGTAGTTTGAAAGAAGTTCAACAACATGTAGTTTATAATAGAGAAAACATAGAATCCCTGTAATACTATGAATAAGTAATGATCTAAGGAGCTTTATATACTTGAAAACATGCAGAGATGTTGATTATGTATTACTAAATGGGAAAACGCCTCGTAAGATAAATTGCATTCTGACCCTTCTTTCCTTGCCTCCTCCCTTAACCCCTTTCCCTGTCCCACCTCAACTAACATCTGACAGAGCAAATGCAGAAATCCAGAAGGGTATTTGTTGTCAAAATATATATAATGGTTATCTCTAAGTAGTGAGATATGGATAATTTTTGTTTTAAACTTTTTTTTTTACATTAGCTATTACTTTTGTTCTACACACTCTTCCTTTTTACATTATTTAACCTCAAAAGAAAGTTTGGGAGAGGGGCCAGGTGAGGCGGCTCATGCCTGCAATCTCAGCACTTTGGGAGGCCAAGGCAGGAGGATCATTTGAGGCCAGGAGTTCAGGACCAGCCTGGGTAACATAGCGAGACCCTATCTATACGAAACATAAAAAAAAAAAATAGCCAAGCATAGTGGCACATGCCTGTGGTCCCAGCTACTTGGGAGCCTGAGGTGGGAGATTTGAGCCCAGGAGGTTCAGGCTGCAATGAGCCATGTCTGCACTCCTGCCTGGGCGACAGCAGTGTTAAAAAAAAAAAAAAAATGTCTGGGAGAGGACAGAATAGCTATCAAGAAAAAGAAGTGTGTCATCCCTGATCCTGGACAAGTCACTGGTGCCTACATCTTTCCTCTATGGCTCAACACAATTGGTCACTCAACACACAGTCATTGGTGCCTTTTATTTTTTTGAGACAGAGTCTCAATCTGTCGCCCAGGCTGGAGTGCATTGGCTCGATCTCCACTCACTGCAACCTCCACCTCCTGGGCTAAAGTGATTCTTCTGCCTCAGCCTCCTGAGTAGCTGGGATTATAGGCTCCCACCACCACACCTGGCTAATTTTTGTATTTTCTGTAGAGATGGAGTTTCACCATGTTGGCCAGGCTGGTTTCGAACTCCTTGGCCTCAAGTGATCTACCTGCCTCGGCCTCCTAAAGTGCTGAGATTACATTCGTGAGCCACTGCACCCAGCCCATTGTGCCCTTTTATAGCTTCCTTTCCTGTGTTTGCCAGGCTGTCTTAGTTCAGGCTGCCATAAAAAAAATAGCAAAGACTGGATGGCTTAAACAACAAACCTTTATTTCTCATAGCTCTGGAGGCTGGGAAGTCTAAGATCAAGGTGCCTGCAGATTTGGTTCTTGGCGAGGGTCCACTTTCTGGTTTGTAGATGGCACCTTTCTCTGTAGCCTGGCATGGCAGAAAGATCTAGTCTCTTTTTCTTCTTTTAAGGACACTAATCCTATCATGAGGGCTCCACTCTCATGTCCTCTTCTAAACCTAATTATTTCACAAAGGCTCTACCTCCAAATACTATCACATGGGGGGTTAGGGTTTCAATCTAAGAATTTTGGGGGAGACAGAAATATGCAGTCCATACTATCACACAGTCCCTCTGTTGGAGATGACCTCATTTCCTCCATACTTACTCTTCTTTTTCTAAGATCCCACATCCAAGGCAGACACTTTCTTGATATATCCAGAAAAGGGTGGTTGCTTTATTAGTTGAGCTTTCAAAAATCTGGTAATTCTCTGTATTAGTAATTAGCGTAGAAGTTTCTATTTTATTTCTAGTATCTTCGAGTGTGTTCTCCTTGACAGAAGGAACCCTTCTCATTTGTCCTGTATTTATACCCTCACAGTCCAACCTAACATAATATGTCACCCAGAATGGGCCCTTAATAAATGTTTCATGGGCTGGGTGTGGTGGCTCATGCCTGTAATCCCAGCGCTTTGGGAGGCAGAGGTGGGCAGATCACGAGGTCAGGAGATCGACACCATCCTGGCTAACATGGTGAAACCCCATCTCTACTAAAAATACAAAAAATTAGCCAAGTGTGGTAGCTTGCACCTGTAGTCCCAGTTACTTGGGAGGCTGAGGCAGGAGAATCACTTGAACCTGGGAGGCGGAGGCTACAGTGAGTGGAGATCGAGCCAATGCACTCCAGCCTGGGCAATGGAGGGAGACTCTGTCTCAAAAAAATAAATAAATAAATGTTTGATGGTTGAGTGAATGAATTGATGAATGTATGGATGGACGGATGAAAATTTGGGCCTGAGATATATTTGTGAAAAAAAGGTTTTAGATTATATTATTATTTTAATATTATTATTTTTTTAAAAATTTTCCCATACCTACTCATCTGAGAGAATTTTAGATTAAATGATTATTGCTCCCACCTATAATCCCAGCACATTAGGAGGCTCAGGTGGGAGGATTGCTTGAGCCTAGGAGTTTGAGACCGGCCTCAGCAACACAGTGAGACCCCATCTCTATACAAATTTTAAAAACTCAGCCAGGTGTGGTGGCGCACACCTATAGTCCCAGCTACCTGGAAGGCTGAGGTGGGAGGATCACTTGAGCTCCAGAGGCAGAGGCTGCAGTGAGCCGTGATTGTGCCATTGCACTCCAGCCTGGATGACAGAGCAAGACCCCATCTCAAAAATAAATAAATAAAAATAAATGGATTAAATGATGATTAATTTTCTCCTAATATTTTGTTGTTAAAAAAATAAAGATGGGACTTCATGGGTGATAATGAGATAGAATTGGAAAGCGAAAGAAAATTTAAAAAAAAAAAGCAAATTTTAGGGCACCTTAAAATGTAGCCAAATGGTAGAATTAGAGAAAATATACATGCAATGCTTGGAGATTATAAATATTCATTTCTTTCCTTTGCTCTGAAAGTTCTTCTTTTATCTGACAATTTAATACCCACCTGTAATTTTCTTTGACTGATAGGATGTTGGAGAATATATAAATTTTTAATTCTTAATTTTAGTTTTATTCAATGCTTTAATTATAGCAGTTATTTCCAATTTTAAATAAACATATCCATCTTAGACAATAGAAGAATATAAATAAATCACCCACGTAGCCCGATCTGTCATCACTCTCCCAGCTGCCTCCAGGGAGGCACTTCCAAGTTTCTTGGCCTGTTAGGATGCGTCAGGGCCAGCATAAAAGGAAGAGTTGTTCAGATGGTCGTGCTCACTGCCCTGGTATTAGACTTCTCCACTGCTCTTGGAATTAGAGAAACTGCACCAAATAAGAATCATCCTCTTAGTTGAGTTGGTAATATTGATGACTGCCCTCTGTGGGAGAGGAATCTACATACATACAAGCCTGAGTGTTTTCACTCACCACACCAATATCCAGTGTCTGCTTTATGTTAGATGTATCATTCATATATTGCTATGTAACAGTCACAAATATCAGCATTTATTACTCACACGTGTTTATTTGGAAACCCAGCCTGAAGGGCCAAAAACTATCCAGGACAAGATCTTAGTAATGAGAGTTGCAAAAGAGGGCAAACCAAGTGGTGCAAGGACATTTAAACTTGAGCTTGCATAAGGTCCACAAATGTTCCATTACTCAAAGTGAGAACAGGGCCAAGCACAAAGTCAAGGGGGATAAGTCACATGACAAAGATACACAGACACAGGTAGGAGTAATGTTGATAGGAGTAATATCAACAGGTGATATTTGGTTACATGAGTATGTTCTTTAGTGGTGATTTGTGAGCTTTTGCTGAACCCATCACCCGAGCAGTATACATTGTACCCAATTTATAGTTTTTACCACTTTCCCTCCTTCCCACCCTTTCCTCCTGAGTCCCCAAAGTCCATTGTGTCATTCTTCTTATCAGGGGAACCCGCCCCCGATAATTCAGTGTGGGTTCTTTTCTATTTTCCCTAAGTGTTGGCCGGTCTGAGAAATAAAGGGAAGGAGAGAAATTTTAAAGTTGGGTGTCTGGGGGAGACATCACATGTCGGCAGGTTCCATGATGCCCCCCAAGCTGCAAAACCAGCAAGTTTTTATTAGTGATTTTCAAAGGGGAGGGAGTGTATGAATAGGGTGTGGGTCACAGAGGTCACATGCTTCGCAAGGTAATAAAATATTACAAGGCAAATGGAGGCAGGGCGAGATCACAGGACCGGAGTGAAATTAAAATTGCTAATGAAGTTTCGGGCACGCGTTGTCATTGATAACATCTTATCAGGAGACAGGGTTTGAGAAAAGACAACTAGTCTGACCAAAATTTATTAGGCGGGAATTTCCTCATCCTAATAAGCCTGGGAGCGCTGCAGGAGACCAGGGCTTATTTCATCCCTTATCTACAACTGTAAAAGACAGACATTCCTAGAGCGGTCATTTCAGAGACCTACCCCTAGGAACACATTCTCTTTCTCAGGGCTGTTCCTTGCTGAGAAAAATAATTCAGCGATATTTCTCCTATTTGCTTTTGAAAGAAGAGAAGTATGGCTCTGTTCCACATGGCTCTCAGGCAGCCAGACCTAATGGTTATCTCCCTTGTCCCTGAACATCACTGTTATCCTGTTCTTTTTTCAAGGTGCCCAGATTTAGTGTTGTTTAAACAATTTTTGCAGTTAACACAATCATCACAGGGTCCTGAGGCAACACACATCCTCAGCTTACAAAGATGATGGGATTAAGAGATTAAAGTAAAGACAGGCATAGGAAATCACAAGAGTATTGATTGGGGAAGTGATAAATGTCCATGAAATCTTCACAGTTTATGTTCAGAGACTGCAGTAAAGACAGGCGTAAGAAATTATAAAAGTATTAATTTGGGGAACTAATGAATGTCCATGAAATCTTCACGATTTATGTTCTTCTGCCATGGCTTCAGCCGGTCCCTCCCTTTGGGGTCCCTGACTTCCCGTAACACTTCTGCCTTTGCATTCTCATAGCTTAGCTCCTACTTCTTTTTTTTTTTTTAGATGGAGTCTCACTCTGTCACCCAGGCTGCAGTGCAATGGCATGATATCAGCCCACTGAAAGCTCCACCTCCCAGGTTCACACCATTCTCCTGCCTCAGCCTCCTGAGTAGCTGGGACTACAGGCACCCACCACCATGGCCAGCTAATTTTTTTGTGTTTTTAGTAGAGACAGGGTTTCACTACACTAGCCAGGATGGTCTTGATCTCCTGACCTTGTGATCCACCCGCCTCGGCCTCCCAAAGTGCTGGGATTACAGGCTTGAGCCACCACTCCTGGCCAGCTCCCACTTCTGAGTGAGAACATGCAATGTTTTCCCATTCTTGAGTTACTTCATTTAGAATAAGTCTCCAATCCCATCCAGGTTGCTACTAATGCCATTAATTCATTCCTTTTAATGGCTGAGTAGTATATCATCATATATATATTGTTTCTTTATTCACTCATTGAGTTGTGGGCATTTTGGTTGCTTCCACATTTTTGCAGTTGTGAATTGTGCTGCTATAAACGTGTGTGCAAATATCTTTTTTGTATAATGACTTCTTTTCCTCTGGGTAGATACCCAGTAGTGGGATTGCTGGATCAAATGGTAGTTCTATGTTTAGATCTTAAAAAAATCTCCACACTGCTTTCCACAGTGGTTGTACTAGTTTACATTCCCACCAGCAGTGTAGAGGTGTTCCTTTTTCACTGCATCTATGCCATCATCTATTATATGTTAATTATGGCCATTCTTGCAGGTGGTAAGGTGGTATCTCATTGTGGTTTTGATTTGAATTTCCCTGATCATTAGTGATGTTGAGCATTTTTTCATATGTTTCTTGGCCATTTGTATATCATCTTTTGAGAATTATCTACTCATGCCTTTAGCCCACTTTTTGATGAGTTTTTTTTTTCTTTCTAGTTTGTTTGAGTTCTTTGTAGATTCTGGATATATCAGTCCTTTGTCAGATGTATAGAATGTGAAGAATTTTCCCCACTCTGTAGGTTGTCTGTTTACTCTGCTGATGTTCCTTTTGCCATGCAGCTCACCAGTCACTGTCTGTATTCACACATCCATGTTCTGATTCCCAGACACCGATTTCATCATTCTATAAGTGATTATTTTGATTTCTTTAGTTCTTTAGCTCTTTAGTTTAATTAAGCTCTTTTTTTTCTTTAGCTCTTTAGTTTAATTAAGTTCCACCTATTGAACTTTGTTTTTGTTGCATATGCTTTTGGGTTCTTGGTCATGAAATCCTTGCCTAAGCCAATGTCTAGAAGAGTTTTTCTGATGTTATTTTCTATAAGTTTTATAGTTTCAGATTTTATATTTAAGTCCTTGATCCATCTTGAGTTGATTTTTGTATAAGGTGAGAGATGAGGATCCAGTTTCATTCTCCTACATCTAGCTTGCCAATTATCCCAGCGCCATTTGTTGAATAGGGTGTCATTTTCCCACTCTATATTTTTGTTTGCTTTGTTGGATATCACTTGGCTGTAAGTATTTGGGTTTATTTCTGGATTCTCTGTTCTCTTCCATTGGTCTATGTGCCTATTTTTATACCAGTGTCATGCTGTTTTAGTGACTATGACCTTATAGTATAGTTTGAAATCAGGTAGTGTGATGCCTCCAGATTTGTTCTTTTTGCTTAGTCTTGCTTTGGCTATGTGGGCTCTTTTTTGGTTCCATATGAATTTTAGGATTGTTTTTTCTAGTTCTGTGAAGAATGACAAGAGACCATCACTTCTTCAATGTAGCCCACATCTACACTTGTGCTAATTGTAAATGGCCCCTGGATTTCTAGACTTACAAGGTGCTTTAGTAAATAATCTAGAATCAGGTCACTCACTTCCTTCAGACACTGTCTCCTCAAGGAATTCAGAGAGATGCTTCTCATTCAGATGTGGCATGTCACTCCCTGGCTTAAACACCTTCAGTGGCTCCTTGTTGTTTATATAAAACCTGAATCCTGTGGCCCCAGCAGCATGACCTGCACGTTGTGGCCCCTGCACACTCCCATAGCCCATCTCACAGCCCCTCGTCCTTCTGCTGGGACTCCGGCCTCACTCACTTCTTTGTCCGGGGAAACGCTGAGCTCCGGTCCCTTTCATAGCCTCCACCCCAGCTCCTCCTTTGCCTGTTAGGAGAAGATGGGCTTCAACTTGAAGTCAGAATGTAAGCTTACATTTTGTCCACGTTGTTAAAAGCAGATTATATACCACATTGTTAAAATCAGGTTACATACCAATTAAAAGCAGGACATATACCTCTCATCACAGACATGGATTTTTTTAGGCAGTGATTATTATGGAAATTTTTGAGTTATATAAATATGCTGAGAGTTGTCTAATGAATCCTTGGCACCCATCAGCTAGCTTTGACATCATCAGTGTGACTCATCTTGTTTAATCTTTCAACCCTTTTTACCCATCATCTTACTCCATCGCTGGATGATTTTATAGCAAATCACAAACATGATCACTAATGCCAACATTAGTGATCAGCCTTGTTCTCATCCTGGAGCCCAGAGATGCTCAGGAAGGCCTTTTTGGAAAACTGATAGCTTGAGAATCAGTCCTACATCCCTAAAAGTGTATATTGGCTTCTATGGATCAGAGGTTTGGGGACACTTCCTGTTCATTGTTGGTACCAGGACACAATCCCAAGACCCTTATTGCTGCTGCTTCCAGTGCAGGAGATGGTGACTGGTTTAGCCACAGACAGACTGTGCAGGTTACCAAGTGAGTTCTGACTGCCCAGGACCCTGAGAGTCAGGAGAGAGACACAGGGTGAGGGAGGTGGCTCAGTAAGCCAGGGGAGCAAGGAAGAGCCCTGGTCCTCCCAGTGCCATCCCTGCCTCCTTGTCTCCAGCTACTACAGGAGTTATTAATAAATAATTTTTAGGCAGCAAGAAAGGGTGAAAGTTCTTGGTGGAATTTTCTTTTAATAAAAAGCGACCCCCAAACCATTTCTTTGCTAACAGAAAGCGGCTTGAAAAACCAGACTGGCAAGCATTGATACACAAATGCTGGTGGCTAGAAGCCAGGTCCACCCAATATGGTGGCTTTCGCCCTCTTCTCCTTGTCACCACATGTGCCAGGTGTCACGGCAGCTTCCACATAAAAGCCACATGTGCAGGACATCATGGCAACCTGAATTTTCATATTAAAAGGCTAGGGTGGGAGGGCCAGTTTTTTTACAGGCTGCGTGAATGACACACCTGGTCAAACTCATTCCCTGGGCCCTGTGCAAATCAGACACTGCCTCCTCCAGCCTCCCAATATAACCAGCTGCTGTCCACCACATGTAGGGTTTTCCGTTCGGAGCCCTTCTCCCTCTCTATGGGGGAGCTGTTTTTCTTCTCTCTTGCCTGTTAAACTTTCCACTCCTTAAAACCACTCCACATATGTCCATCCATGTTGCTAATTTTCTCAGAATGAGACAAAAGACCCTGGTGTTTCTCCAGTCATCAGAGCCGTATCCTTTCTGGTGCCTTCACTGGGAATCCAAGGTACAACATTCATCGACGTAGTGATTAGAGGAGTGAACTCAAAGTCTGTTCTGTCATTCAGAGGTTCTTGGTCTCTATTTTAAAATCAAAATCAAATCAATTATGGGCATCCATTGGCCGTCTAAATACGCTTATCATGGCTGTTGTTCTAAAGACTTGAGTGTTAGGCTTGCTGGTCAGAACACGGAGAACCCGCAATACTCACGGGTCTTTGGGAATGTTGGTCATGCTTCAAATCAGTTTCTTTTCATGGGGAAACTTAGCCATCGCGTGAGGCTGGGAAAAGTTCTGAAGCAACTGAGAATTTCTGGCCAGGGCACAGCCTGGTGTTATTCAAAGGTTTCGGGACTGGACCCAGCCTCCAACGGCCTGCTCTGGATGTTGGTAAAGGATCCCTAGCTATCCTGTCGCAGAACCTTCTTCCTTTTTTATCCGTGGTCGTTATGTCTCTTACTCTCTCTGTGTGTCAAATGTGCGGGAATTTTTACAGCGTAGGGAAGTAATCCTGGTAGGCAAGATCAGAAAATGCTGTAGTAACTGGGGAGATAGCTCAGGAAAATGCCATTGCAATCTTCTAGGAACAGAAGTCTTCCTTTGCCCCTCAGTGAGGTTACTCCCTAAAATTCCTCTGGTGAGCACATGGTATTTCTAGGCCAACAGCGCCACCTAGTGGAAATAAAATCCTCTTTATGCGACACATTGCTGATCTCCGCGGTACACCGCAGCTTCTCAATTTTTTTCTTTTTGCACCTTTCTACTGGAAACCAGGATTTATGCTGCTCCTGTGAACGGGAAAATTCTGCTTTTAACTATTAGGAGTAAAATTCCTCTGCAGCCGAATTTGTGCCCCGATACTGTCCCATTAGCAGGAAAGTCGCCATTAGGTCCCCGCGTTCCTTTAAGACACCTGTTCTCTCTCCGATTAAAACAGTACTTAATTAGTAAGGAGATTTTAAGTCTGGAAGTTAACTGGAACCATTTTTCTAAGGGTAAATGCTTTAGCACAGGCCATAATAGCAGGCAATCTAGCACATTCCCTCCATTAAAGGAGCCTTTCCTTCCATATAGTTTCTGCCAAGATCTATTTTTTTGGGGGTGGGGGTGGGGTGAGACACACAGATCACACAAGTCTAGGAAGTCAAAGGGAAATCATAGGCAGAGGACTAGAGCTGCTTGGGGTAGCACGACTAGGCCCACAAGCTTAGTTCCTCTGGTGCCATGGCTTGGAGGGTCACGCTTGCAAACATGGGTGGCACATTTAACAGGGTGCCAGGACCTGGGTGATTCTGGAAATTGAAGGAAAGTAGATGTCCTTCTAAATACTAAAGCCAATCTCTCTCTTTTCTTCTCTCTAATCCAGGCCTCCCCTCTTCTCATAGCATCACCATAAGGAACATCTCAGGAAAAACTCTAGTACAATATTTTTCTCAACCTTAGTTGCAGTTAGGAGGACCTATTTACACATGCTTCCAAGCCATTGTCATGATAGCTTTACAGTTAGAAAAGCCTCCAAATTAATCCTGGGAAAGAACTTAACTGTTTACACCCCACGTAATGTGGCAGGATTACTGTCCTTTAGGGGGCGCTTTTAACTAACAGCCGGTAAAGCAAGAAATACATAAGGCAGGATAAGCAGTAGTCACTCTAAACAACATCTCTCCCCAGACACAAGCACTTAATTAGCTGAACTAATAGCTCTTACGAGAACACTTCAATTAAGCAAGGGAAAGGTAGCCAACATTTACACGGACTCCAAGTATGCTTTCTTAGCTCTCCATACTCATGCTGCCATTTAAAAGGAAAGACATCCTCTTACCACTAATGGATTTCCTGTAAAATATCACCAGAAAATTAGCAGGCTATTATCTTCACTTTTTATGCCGTGAGAAATAGCAGGGATACATTATAGGAACACCAAAAGGCAGCAAATAAAGTAGCCAAAGGAAATAGATTAATCAGGCAGCTAAGTCAAAGGCAAGGAAGCCTCAAGGCATTAACACACTTCAAGCCCCCTTCTAATCTAGGAATGCTCCATAACAGAAATTAAACCTCAGTATTTTCCTGCAGAAACAGAATAGGCCACTTCTCAAGGGTATGCTTTTTATCTCTCAGGATGGCTACAGCCAGAGGATGGCAAACTCCATTTGCCAGCCTCCAGCCAATGGAAAGTTCTTAAAATCCTTCACCAAGCTTTTCACTTAGGAAAGGATAAAATTTGTCAATGTGCTCAGAGACTGTTTTCAGGCAGAAAACCTATAAATTGGTTAAGCATGTAACCTCTCTACCTCACTTCCAACAGAAATTGACACAACTGGCAGAAGCCCAGCCCCAGGAAATAGAACCACCTTTATTTAACCCAGGAAATTTGGTACTAGTGAAAACTCTCACCTCTCTCTCCTTCCCTAAGCCAAGCTGCGAAGGGCCCTACACTGTTCTCTTTCAACCCCCTTGGCAGCAAAAGTTACAGGTGTCAACTTCTGAATACATCACACTCAAGTCAAAGCCTGAATGCCTGAGGGAGCAACCCCTGACAGCCCAGAGGAACGTCCTGAATATCAAAGTGGAGAAATAGAAGATCTTAAGCTGAAAATCATAAAAGATAAGTAACTGAGTGAGGGCTACTCATCCTACTCAGTCCCACTCCTACCTCACCAGATGCTTTTTATTTATTTATTATTTTTGAGACAGAGTCTTGCTCTGTCACCAGGCTGGAGTACAATGGCATGATCTCAGCTCACTGCAACTTCTGCCTCCCGGGTTCAAGTGATTCTTCTGCCTCATCCTCCCTAGTAGCTGGGATTACAGGCATGCACCACCACACCCAGCTATTTATTTTATTTTTTTTTTTTTGAGATGGAGGCTTGCTCTGTCGCCCAGGCTGGAGTGCAGTGGCGCGATCTCAGCTCACTGCAAGCTCTGCCTCCCAGGTTCATGCCATTTTCCTGCCTCATCCTCCCGAGCAGCTGGGACTACAGGCGGTCTCGATCTCCTGACCTCATAATCCACCTGTCTCAGCCTCCCAAAATTTTTTTGTATTTTTAGTAGGGATGGGGTTTCACCATGTTGGCCAGGATGGTCTCAGTCTCTTGACCTCGTGATCTGCCCACCTCAGCCTCCCAAGGCGCTGGGATTGCAGGTGTGAGCCACCATGCCCGGCCACTTTTTATTATTTGTACCCCTTCCTCTAAAAATTTGCCACCAAATATTAGAACTTCTTTTTAATGCATATTCGCAGGGAGATTTTGATTATTCATAGAATTGCATTTGTAACCTTGTAGATTCCCAAAGGGAAATGTTATATCTTGGCAAGTAAAGTTTTCAATGGAAATTATTTACTATGCCAGTCTTGTGGGAATTGTTACAGTCACACTACTATTTGCAATAGAACTATACACTATGGCACTCACAATGTGGAATTCTGGTTGTAAAATTCTAATTGCTGTAACATCTTGTCTAATTATCATCCTTATAACAGGATTAACAATTGCAGGAAAGATTTAGTCAAGGCTGTTTTGCTTATAGCAGGAGTAATAGTTATGGATATAGCATGAAAGTTTTACTATCATTAAGTTTGATAGGACTTTTTATTGAAGACTGGTTGTATGGTGCACTCTAAGCTATAGAAAGAAGGTTATAAAAGAAGGAACTTTATATAAGAAAAGATCTTGTGTGGGAAATTCTTGTCCTAAAAGCAAATGACTGGTTATTTAAAGGAAGGATGTTTAGGACAAGTCGGAAAGTTTGAGTATGTTGTAAGAGGGTCTGTGAAAGTCATGAAATAATTTAATAATTAAAGAAAAGGAATTGTCAAGATTAACACTAAAGTTAATTTAGCCACCCAATAATGTATTTCTCCCAATTATATTGCAAGTTATAAAAATGGTCTAAGCCTAAAACTATTCACTAATGGCAAGTAAAGGGGGAAATGTATGGTTTTCTCAAGGAAAAATGTCACTTTCATATTAATCTTTCTGGTAATATTCAGTGACATCTAGTGGAGACAACCCAGTATTACAATCCACTGGTGTAACTAACAAGTATCAAACTCTGCTGTCATAGTTGTGGTCTATAGTACCCCCACTAACAGTGGTAATCTTAATACTCATATTCTAACCCTATATTTTAAACCTTCTTGTAAGATTTATCTCTTTTCACCTAGAAGCAATCAAACTCCAAATAATGCTGCAGACAGAGCCACACATGGACATGCCATTCTTCAGAGAATCCTTAGATCAACCTCAGGAGGAGGCCCAACTGCTGTCCCCTTACATGACGCCCCTTTCCAGAAGGAAGTAGCCAGAAAGAATTGTTGTCCAACATCCCCTAACGACAGTTAGGTTTACTTCTCCTGAGGGGGGAAATAACAGGAGTCATTAAGAAATAATTTTTAGGCAGCTAGAAATGGTGTAAGTTCTCGGTGGAATTTTCCTTTAATAAAAAGCGACCCCCAAACCATTTCTTTGCTAACAGAAAGCAGCTTGAAAAACCAGACTGGCAAGCACTGATATGCAAATGCTGGTGGCTAGAAGCCAGGTCCACCCAATATGGTGGCTTTCGCCCTCCTCTTTTTGTCACCACGTGTGCCAGGTGTCATGGCAGCCTCCAGATAAAAGCCACATGTGCAGGACATCATGGTGACCTGCATTTGCATATTAAAAGGCTAAGGTGGGAGGGCCAGTTTTTTTTACAGGCTGCATGAATGTCACACCTGGTCAAACCAATCCCCTGGGCCCTTTGCAAATCAGACACTGCCTCCTCCAGCCTCCCAATATAATCAGCTGTTTTCCATTGCATGTGGGATTTTCCATTAGGATCCCTCCTCCCTCTGTATGGGGGAGCTGTTTTCTTCTTTCTTGCCTATTAAACTTTCTGTTCCTTAAAACCACTCAATGTGTGTCCATGTCACTAATTTTCTCAGTGTGAGACAAAGGACCCTGGTGTTTCTCCAGTCATCAGAGTCATGTCACAGCCACCTTTGCAGAGACTCAGGAGGGTGAGGAAGAGAGGGTCCAGGCCATGGTAGAGATGTCTGTAGTGCTCTGCTTCCTGAGCCACATAGATTAGGCGGAACAACCCCTCTTCCCTGGTGTCTCTTAGGGGAGGGGACTCAGTGGAAATCTATCCTGACCCCTGGCTGTGCCCCTCACATAAGATGCCGAGTCTGATTTTTCTTTTTGAGGAGTAGGTGGGTGGGAGGTAGGAGGGTGTGGTCAGTGATGCTCCAGGCACCCTGGGAGGACACAGCTGCTGGGCCCTGTGAATGCTAAACAGCAAACGGCAGACAGGTGTCTGGTGTTACAACTGAGTGCATCCATGAACTCACTTCCCAGGCTGCATAGAAATCCATGGGTCTCTCTTCCTATTTGATTCCTCACTAGATCAGCACATAAGGCAGAATGGTGGGGATTGGAGAAAATTGGCTAGTATATTTGTGTGGTTCACTGGATTTGTTAGAAACAAGAGCTCAGAGTCACAAGGAAAATGAGCACTCAAACAGGATTTCTCGGCAAGGCAAATTTACTTCTGCAGAAGGGTGCCACTCACACCTCTGGCTGCTGCGAGAGCACACCAAATGAAGGAGGGAAGGGGTTTTCATCCCTAATGTGGTTAGTCCCTGCTTCTGTGTCCTGTCCCCATTGGCTGGAGTTGTACTGCACAATCTACACTGACCCGATTGGCTACTATTTAAAATTGAATATGGCTAATTAGGTGGGAAGGGAGAGGCTGTCTGTTATGGTACAAGGTACGTTTGGGCAAGTCAGGGTGTGGCAAAGGCGGGAAGGGTAGTTTCGTGGGAGGGTTAGTTTACAGAATGGGTAGCCAGGAGTAAAAGAGGACTCTTTCCAAATAAGGAAGAGATGTGAGTTACAGATTGGGACTGGTGGGAGAAGTTGTTTACAGAGCAGGTAGCTTAGGAGAAGGGACAAGGAAGTTGATCTCAGGAAGAAAGAACAAGGAATTCAGAAATTAAGCCTTTTAAGAGGAACTTACTGTATCTGACAGTTTCCCCCTTTTGATTTTTATAATTCTTCCTCTTCAAACCTTTTTAACATGCCTTGACTCTGTTGTTCTGCTTGGTTTTCTAAAAGTAGGAGCTTATCTGAATAAGGTGGGGGGGCGGTGGATTTGAAAAAGGTTTTAGTGAGAGTTGTTTCAATAAGCCTTTGTAGTAGGCCTCAGGTGCAGGGTATGATACAACATTCTACAAGAATAAGCAAACCTATTACAATGTCAAGAGAAGTAAAGATTGAGGACATAAGTCTTTTCCATTTGCTGAACCATTTCTCCATTAAATTAGTGAAGGGATCGTTTATTCCTGAATTTTTAGCTACTTCATTGGATAAAGCAGTAAGACCTTGTAATGCTTTTGTTATGGTTCCATCAGGAGCAGTATTACTAGGTATAAAAGTACAACATTGAGTTCCACTCATAACACAGACTCCACCTTTCTCTGCTAGTATCATGTCTAATGCTATTCTATTTTCCCAAACCATTTGGCTGGTGGGTCCTAACTGTTTAGCTATCCTTTTAATAGCATCTCTAGTATAGTTAACAAATCCTTGCTGGTTGTAATAGATGTAATTTATCCAATCTACATTTTTATTTACAGTCAACCACCAGAATAGTATGGACTCAAACCCTGCAACTATCTGATTTTGGGGCTTAGATTCATCTGGCACTCCTCTCTGGACTCCAATGACATCTATATAAGCATGAGAGTCAAAGGACCCATGAGGAGCATCTTTTGTTTTATGATGCTTTGTCTTTATCCTTTTTGGTTGACAAAATGTCAGAGTGAAAGGGATGGCCAATTAGATCAGAGTGCAAGTGCCGCTCCAGTTACTTGGAAGTGTCTAGTAATGGTCCGCAGCAATACCACCATACATCTGCTCAGGGATGGATCAGGGCAGACTGATTGATCAGCTCTTGGAATGGCTTAAGCTCACTGCATCCCTTTAGGTCTCCAAGAAATGCTAAGTTTTCCCCTTGTCGTGAGAGACATGGGGTGAAACTTGCATCAGGAGACAGAAGCTGGATGGCCCTCAGGGGCTGACCCACAGGGTGCTGGACTTCAGGAAATAGCAGAGAGAGAGTTCAGCATAATTCATTACCCCAGGCTGTGGGGTGTTGGAAGACAGCTACCATACAGTTCATGCCTGGTTGGCTGGAGGACCTTCCAAGTGGAAAGGGGACAATCAGGGCCTCTGGCCTGCCATGTGCACAAGTGTAACAATTGCTTTTGTTTAGAGTGTGGACAGGAGATTTAATCCATTCCAGCCAGGCATTTGCGTCTTTGTACCCTGTCTCTAGAGCTGTAGTCTGCTTTAAATCTTTTACCTCCACAACCATTACCTTAGTTGGGTCATTCTGGAGATGAGAAGAGAATGCTGAGCCTGATATGTTTGGGGAGAGCATTGGCTCCCATAGGTTCCCTGGACTCTGGGTCTGGATTTCTTTATTGTTTTTAACTGATGGTCTAGCCAACCTCAGAAAGAAGATTCCTATGGGGTCCTGTCCTGTAACATCTGCTCCTAACCCATATCATTCGAATATGGAGGGTTCTTGGGTCATTGTTTGGGGATTATCTATAATTAGCAATAAGGGGTTACACTGCAATGACTTACAATTTGGTGGGGTGGTACCACGAATAAGTTGGAGTTTCTGTTTCAGTCCTCAGAATTGTTTGAAAAAGGGGGCCTGGCTGTCCACCCTCCATATTGGGTGGTCCACCAAACATCTGTCCAGTCACCACAGGGACTTTTTAAGGCTCTATACTTATACTTGGTTGACTCACTACGGTACGGACACAGATACTTATCTACATTTGATAGCTGCCTTTGAGCTCGTTCATCTCTACATGAGGTGACTGAACAAGCATCGAACTGGAGGGTTAAGGGACGATTAGTTTGAGGCACACTGATGATGAGGTGACTTTCTGTTGGAAAGAAAAGGGAAAATAAACAAATGATTATTCAGCCCTTTTTAATTTGGTGCGGGTGGGCCCTGGGGTGACGGCCCATTTTTCTCTCGCTGTGAAAATCACTCCTTTCACTTGTGTGTGGGGTGTCCATCCCCTTTCAGCTGTGCGGACAGCAATTTCTGTAGTTAGAAGCACTAGATAGTGTCCTTCCCAAGCCGGTTCGAGTTTTCCTTCTTTCCAGCTTTTGATGAGAATGTGATCCCAGGCTGATGCTGATGTGCTGGGAGCTCCAAGGGTGGTGTCAGTGCTAAAAGGTCTTTAGTTCTGAGGGAAGAGAAAGTGGAAGACAGACCAATTATATAGTTCTTGAGAAATTGATCTTTAGTTTCAAATGTAGGAATGTCAGCAGTGGAGTGTAAATAAGGCAACCCGTATAGCATTTCTTAAGGAGATAAGCCAATATCTTTCCGAGGGGCAGTTCGGACCCTCAATTAGGCAATAGGAAGGTAGTCGAGTCTCTAAAACTAGTTTGATTAGGTGGCTTTTTAGGATTTGGTTCATTCTTTCTACTCTTTCTGATAAAGGTGGGTGCCAGGGATATGGTATTCCCATCTTATTTGTAATACTTGGGCTAGCTTTTTAATGACATGTGCAGGGAAATAGTTTCCATTATCTGAATCAATATTTTCTATTAATCCAAACCTAGGTATAATATTTTCAGTTAATGTCTAAACTACATTACTGGTGGCTACACTTGAAAAGGGAATAGCTTCTACCCAGCGAGTAAGGTGATCCACTATTACTGGTAGATACTTTAGGTGACCTATTGAGGCCATTTTGGTGTAATCTATCTGGATGCTTTGGAATGGCCTTAATTTCCTGGGTTTCTTCCTCCAAAGGATGGTTTTCTTAGGGTTTGCTTATTAGTTTTTTTGCATATTAAACAACTATCTGTAGCTTGTTTTGCTAGAGTATAAATTCCTATACATCCATAGTCTCTAAGAACTGCATCACACATAGCTTGAGGTCTCCAGTGGGTTCCTTGATGCAGCTGAGATAAAACCTCCCTCATGAGAGGTTTGGATAGCATTTCTCTTTGATCTGGTAACACCCATTTCCCTTCTGAGTTTTCCTTGGTTCCTATTCTTATTAATTTCTCCTTTTCAGCAGGGGAGAAGATGGCAATGGCGGTTGGGGGAGAAAGGCAAGGGGTGAGGTGAAACATGGGCGTTTCAGAGGAAATGGCAGCTTGTTTGGCTATTTGGTCTGTGAGGTTATTCCCTCAGCTTTCAAAAGAAAGATTTTGGTTTTTTACTACCTCCCCAGGAGTTTTTAATTTGGGCTTGATTGGAGGAACTGTAATTTCCCCCAATTTTCTTCTTTTGACCATGTGTCAGGATGGATACGCTCTTCATCCGTGGTGGTGAGTAGGTTTAAGGAGATGAGAAATTTTCCCTGATTAATATAAAGGCCTAAGCCAAATTTTAGCATTAAATCTCTCCCTAATAGATATGTTCCTGCCTCTGGAATTAACAGAAATTTAATATTAGCTGATCTGCTTTTATATATGACTTTTGTTTCTTTTTCCCATTCAGGACATTCTCTTTTGAAGTGACCTATTTTTTCACATTTGAAACATTTGTTTCGTCCTCTTTCTCTCCCTCTGCCTCTCTTTCTCTCCCTCTCTGTCTGGGTCTCTGACTTTTCCTCACTGTCTCTCTGCCTCTCCATCTATCTGCCTCTCTGTCTCTCCCTCCCTCTCTCTCTTTCTGCCTTTGTATCTCCCCCCCTCTCTCCCTGGCTCCCTCCGTTCCCTCTGTCAGTCTTTCTCTCTCCTCTCCCTGCCCTCTTGTTCCCTCTATAGGCCGATATTTCCAGGTCTCTATTTTCTGTAATTTCTTCATGATATCTGGCCAACTATTAGTAACAAAATGGAGTTTTAACATCCCTGCCTAAGGGGATCCTTTATGTTTAAGCCTGCCTATTTTCTCATCTGTTCCTTGAGTCTGTTTAAAAACTCCATGGCTCCCTGGTCTTTTCCCTGCTGTATATTAAATGCTCAGGAAATATTTTGGGTTTGAGGCACTGATTCCTGAATCCCTTTAACTACCTTTTCCCTAAGGTCTTTCATGTTTTCTCAGTTGGCTGCATTGTTATTATCCCATTGGGGGTTTTGGGCCAGAAATTTTTGTTCTGCTGCAGGGGTATTTTGACTGGGAGGATATTTGCACTCCCAGGCTATCATAGTAGCCTTCTGTATCATGGTTCTTTCCTCCCCCGGAAAGAGAACACTTAAGATGGACATTAGCTCAGCCTAAGTGTATACTTGTGATCCTACAAATTGGTCAATTTGATCCACGACCCCAAAAGGATAATCTAATAGTGGTTTAAGTTCTTCCCTCAGGTTTCTGACCTCTGAACTAGTTAAGGGGACATTTACAAAGCCAACTCCCTCTCCTCCTAGAAACACTTCCCTTAAGGGAAAAACGATTGGGGCAGACTCTTTTGAGGAGGAGGGGAAAGGGAAGTTTTGAATATCCTTTTTACATTGCTCTATCTCACGTTGAAGCCTTCTTGCAGGAGGGCGTTCAGGTTGGGGACAGCCCTAACAGTCAGGATTATAAGGAGGGAGGGCATAATGTGAGCAGGGGAAGGGTCTGGGTGGCTGCTTGAGAGAAGTTAGGGGTATCTGGTGGAGGCAGATGGTCTAAGGGATCCCACATGGATTGCTCAGGGGTGGGGCCTTAGTTCCTACAGGGGAATTAGTTTCTGGCTTATCCTTACTAGTTTTAAGGGGGTAGAGGAGGACCGGCCCCTGCCACCAAGACACAGCAGAGTCTATTTCCTCTTGGGAAGCAGGACTTTTGTCATTTACATACTCTATTAAAAGTTGACAAATCCAACTCTCATTTGATCCAAACCTTGGCCAGAAAACTGAAGGTTTGAGAATAGGTTCTTTGGTCCAAATAAAACAATTCCCATATTTGATCATTTGTTGCTTTTTCTTGTGTTTAGTCCTTTCATTATCCCTCCAATATTTTAACATGAGACCTAGAAGGCTATCAGAGGGAATTGTGTTATCTCCTTTGCCCTTTGTAGTTCTTGTTTTACTAGGGTATTTCATATCCTGGAAGTTAATGGGGGCTCATATCTCTCATATTAGAGATTTCTTGCACTCCCGTCTTGGAGGTTAATGGGGGCTCAATCTCTCGTATTAAAGATTTCTTGCACCCTTTTCCCTGGAGGCTCAATCCCCGCTACTGGAGGTTTCTCGCTCTCCTTTCCCTGCTGAGTGTGCGTGGGGCTCAACCTCTCCTACTAGAGATTTCTTGCACCATTTCCCTGGGGCTCAACCTCTCTTACTAGAGATTTCTTGCACCCTTTACTTTACTCCACACTCACTTTGCACTTAATTGTGCATCTCATTCACACATTTTCAACCTGCAGAATGTCCTGACCACTAAGGAAGTACTTCACTGCCCTAGTGGTTTTTCTTACCTTTGTCTGTGCACAGTTACCTGGTCGCCACGGTAACTGTAGGCCTTTTCTTCCTGTGTTGCTGAGAGTCTGGGTTTATTTATCATGCTGGGTGGGTCCTGATTCCTTACCCCTGAGGCCACTGCAATGAAGCAGTGGGATGCATCTCCTCCTAAGAGGTGATCAGAGGCCCTTCCTCAGAGGAGAATGGGAATCCCAGATGACCCCCTATTTTGTTAGAAACAAGAGCTCAGAGTCGCAAGGAAAATGAGCACTCAGACAAAATATTTCTCAGCAAGGCAAACTTATTTCTACAGAAGAGTGCCGCTTGCACTTCTGACCACTGCAAGAGCACACCAAACAAAGGAGGGAAGGGGTTTTCATCCCTAACGTGGTTAGTCCCTGCTTCTGTGTCCTGTCCCCATTGGCTGGAGTTGGACCACACAATCTAAACTGACCTGATTGGCTACTGTTTAAAATTGAGTATGGCTAATTAGGTGGGAAGGGAGAGGCAGTCCATTATGGTACAAGGTATGTTTGGGCATGTCAGGGCATGGCAAATGTGGGAAGGGTAGTTTTGTGGGAGGGGCAGTTTACAGAATGGGTAGCAAGGAGTAAAAGAGGACTCTTTCTAAATAAGGAGGAGATGTGAGTTACAGATTGGGACTGGTGGGAGAAGTTGTTTACAGAGCAGGTAGCTTAGGAGAAGGGACAAGGAAGTTCATCTCGAGAACAAAGAACAATGAAGTCAGAAATTAAACCTTTGAAGAGGTACTTACTGTGTCTGACAGATTCACTGGAAATACAGAGAATTCTGGAAATACAGAGAAATACAGATTCTCCTGGAAAGGAGAAGAAGAAGGTGCTGGCTGAGGTGAAAAAACAGAATCAATCAACTTCGGGCTTCTTCAGTTCTAAGCATATCTGAGAGGTTCAAGAAAGAGATAAAAGTATGAGTGTCAACTTCAAGGACAGATGCAGAAAAAATGCCAATGAGTTTCCTGTTATAAAGCCCTTGATAATTAACTCAAGAGATTAGAGGGGAGAAGTGGGTGGTAGCAAAGGGAAAGAGAACAAAGAAGGGAATTCAGGAATCAGAGATGTGGAAGGGGAGAGGGTAAGGATGGGCCACATTATAGGAAAGGCTGAAGGAGGAGCCAGTAAGAGTGTTGGACAGGAGCCAGAGGGAAGGTCAGGTTTGTTGTTTGTTTGCTTTTGTTTTTGCTCTCAAAGAAAGGGGAGCCTTTCCTAGCTTTGCAGCTGTCCTCCCTGGTCATCTCCCTCCATGGAGTGTGGGGTTCTTCTATCATGCAAGCTGGTAAATTCCCTATGTCAGAGATTTCTCCTAGGTTCTTGCCTGCCAAGGATTCTCCTTATTTGATACTAGTCTTATGGATATGTTGTCGTTTTTCTTATTATTATTAGAGACAAGGTCTCACTCTGTTACCCAGGCTCAAGTGCAGTGGCATGATCATAGCTCACTGCAGGTTTGAACTCCTGGGCTGAAGCTCTCCTCCTGCCTCAGCCTCCTTAGTACTTAGGGCTACAAGCATACAGCACTATGCCTGGCTAATTCATTTTTTATTATTTAAAAAAAACTATAGAGAAAATATCTTGCTATGTTGCTCTTGGCTGGTTTCAAACTCCTGGCTTCGAGTAATCTTTTTGCCTCAGCTTCCCAAAGTGCTAAGATTACACATATGAGCCTCCACTGCTGGCTGGACTTGTTATTATTCAAATATATATGTGGATTTTGTGTGGCAGGCACATGTGAGAAATGCAGAGATTGTGTCCTCACTCCAGACCCACTGAATAAGAATCTGCATTTTATAAAATCCCCAGATAATTTGTATGCACAATAGAGTTTGGGAAGTACTGTTCTAACACATGCATGGAGACATTGACGTAGTTTTCAATATAAGTTGTTCCTCGTACCTGAATCTATTATGCTCCAGCAAACATGAGCAGGAAATTCTTGTTTCTCTATTTTCTGCATTGTGAAGTCAGGCATAATGTACTCAAGGCTTTCCATAGAAAATTGCAGGCATTTTGTTTGACTTCACTAAATCCACAGAGAAGACCAGGAGCATTTTAATAATAGCCCAATGTCACATCTTTGTCTGACAAGCAATTTGAATTACCCCAAATTATAATTTTTCATTGGTATTCAAATAAAAATAAAATTAGCAACTACTCAAATATTTTACCCTTTCAAATAAATGGAAAACTACTTACATTAACATTAAATGACAGAGCAAAAAGCTGTATAAAACCAGAGGAATGAGCACAAGGTTTGATAACCATTGTGAAAATATTGACAACAAAAATGAGAGAATGCATCCAAATGAAGAAATGTACTTCTATTGATTATCTGGGATAAGGTAGCTTTGCAGAGAACTTGGTGATTTTTAATACTTTCTGATTCCACATAATAGGCATGTATTGCTTTGAAAGTAACTCAATAAAACAAACTTTAGAAATATACAAAAGTAGAGTTTCTTCTCTTTACTCTTAGCTCAGAAACCCCATACTTTGAAGATGCTTCTTTCTGGAGGAAATGCATTTAGCCTCAGCCTTTAGATCTGATCCAGCTGTTAGTGCTCCTTTTAGAATACAAAGCAATAAACTTCTGATTTTTTTTTTGATCCAGTTCTTCCCAGATCATTCTCACATTTCCTTCACTTCAGGGCTTAAGCAGGGATAGGAATCAATTCAGATCCTTTCCTTCCCCTTTCTATGGCTGGTCCACATGTAGGCTGCCTTGAGAGCTGGTGTGCGTGATCATATGATCTTCATATCACAAGGGCCTAGAGAGGTTTATGTCTCGGTTCCTCTTCTGAGTCTGTCACTGTGCCAAGCACGACTATGGTGCAGTAAGCAGTAGTACTCAGCTTCACCTCTCGGGCTGCACACCCAAGAGTGTCTGGGCAGCTTTGCTCCCAAGGACTGAGCCTGAGAACTGGGCAGGGGTCCAGGAGTGTTTGTTGCTTGCATGATAAATCAGTGTCCTGGGGGCTTGGCCAAGCTTCTGCTGGAACCAGTAAGGATAATGACCCCCATTGACTGCTCCAGTGCTGGAGCCATAGGTGAGAGTGACTGTCCCTCCTGGGGACACAGTCAGTGAGGGTTCCTGAGTCATCACAGCCTGAGAATTTGACCCTGAAACAAAAAACAGACACATGTTGGGAATTAGAAAGGGAGACACAGGAATCCCTCCAAAGGCTGGTATTTGAAATCTCTATTAACCTGGGCAGCAAGTGAGGAGGTACATGGGGAGAAGGAGAAGGAGAGGAGTCCAGGCCATGATGCTGATATTAGAAGGGACTCCTGGCTCCAGAGTCGGGGCTGGATTCTGATGGCTCTTTATGTCCTACTGAGCTCCCTATGTGGAGAGGGTGTGTTGTGTGGTACTTTATGCAAATCTTTACTACTTTTAGAACCACTCAGGTTCTTAGCCCTGAGGGCATCTACACTGTGAAGGGCCAGACCAGGGTGACTGTGTGCTGTGGATTTGCTGAGTGGGAGGAAGCAACTGCTCTAGCATTTTACATGAACCAGTGAGCAACTGTGCAGGGTTTATTAAGTTTGAACCTCTTGAGCTTCTTAAGATGCAGAAGACTCAGACTGCCCTGTGATGGCTTTCCTGGACTGAGAATGCCTGGCCTTTCACTTATTTAACAAAATAACAATTGATTTATCTTTTTGACATTACCATGGTATTTCCGAGGCCAATTCACACCCATTACTTGTCTATTCTTTGCTCATTCCTATTTGCACTACTTTTTCTTGCCATTGCTGAAATCCTGTCCCTGTGACTATAATTCAATTTTTGTATTACATGGTGTTAATTTTTATCTGAATGGTTTGAATGACTGAAGAAATTGTTTTAATGACCTACTGACTTTTTGAAACTGTTTATATTGAGCCTCATATTGGATAAACAGCTGTCTTAAGTGAGAATTTTAATAATAATTTACTTCAGAGAATTTTTAAAAAGAAAATAACCAAAGATTGAAGGTTTAAGTTTTATTGTTAATTCAATGGAAACTGAAGTGAGCCTTGAGGATGATCCACAAGGTCTACATAATAACCCCACTCTCACCCAGACCACCCCTTAAAAGCCCTCTGGACACCAAGCTTGGGTGAGCTTTCCTGGTTGGCTCACCCAGGAAATAGGTGTTTCATACACAGAATCACACATTGCTGTGAGCAAAATGAAGCACTGTCTATTTCTCCACTGGGAGAGGACAACTGGGTGCTTGTGCTTGGAATTCTCCTGAACTCTGCCCATGTGCCTCTTCCCTTGAATTATCTTAATCTGTATTATTTTGCTGTAAAAATTTGTATCAATAAATGTCACAGGTTTCAGGGAGTTATGTGAGTTTTTCTAGGGAATCATAAGAAGTGAAGGGCTGTTGGGGAGCCCTTAGGTTACAATTAGCGTCAGAATTGAGAGTACTCTTGGGAATCCTCAGACCTCACAGGTTCCAATCTCACATTATTCTTTTTTTTTTAACTTCAAAGAAAGCTTTAATTTGGGAAGAGTTTCTCATTTTGTTAAAGCTGCAAACAGACTTCTTATACAATTACACTTCTAGAAGTCTAGTAGTTTCAGAGATCTCAGTGTTCAAAGGTATATTTCCAAATCAGTAATAGAACCAAACCCACAGCAAAAGGAAATCACTTTTAGATTGGTTTGGAATGTACAACCATTGATTTTAGGTGTTCTCAGAAACAGCTTCACCACTTCTTTGGAAAACAGGTGGCATGGAGTCAGTGTCCACAGAAGAAAATGTCTTTAAATATGTTAGTTACCTGGACAAGATTATTCACTCCTTAGAAAATACAGTAAGATTACAAGTCCCAGCTGGCAAGGTATGTAGTACAGCATCAGTTTTACAGAGGGATTATGAGATCTTGGGATGAGCGGTTGTTGGCTTATGGCAAAGAATATAAGAGCAGTCACTGGAAGTGGAAGAAGAATGATGATGAGCAGGGCATCTCTCACAGTCCTACTCAGCCTTTTAACTTGGTAAATGGATAGGCTATGTTCTGTAGCATCTTTGGGAGAACATTTAAGACAGTTCAAAAACAATAACAACAACAAAAGCCACCCAATATTATTCCCCAGAAAGTCCATATCTGAAAAGAAAGAAGGACCTGTTCAGGGTTCCCATGGAGGACTGTGCCCCCATCCTCTTTTGTCTCCAGAAAATACAAGACATCAGCCAGAGTGTGCTCTACCACAGCATCCCAGCCCATGTCACTCACAGGGCAGTAAGTGAGATTCTTTGGAGGATACTTGGAGCACAGTCCAAAGTTAATGGAAACTATGAAGCTCTTGTCCAGTGAGATGGCTAAAAGTAACCCCCTAAAAATATCTTTTGAAGCCACATCTTGATTGACACCATGTTTATAAAATATTATTTTACTATATGGAATCTGTTTTAGACTCTTCCCTGCTTTAGCCACAAAGTCTTTTTCCACAAAATAAAAATAATTGTTGAACTTTATCAAAGCCTTATCTTGGTAACTTGGCTGTCTCTTGGGTTTTCAGGAAGATTAATATAAAATCGTAGGATGTCTCCCTGCCCATAGCTAAAACAGTAGTGTTCGCCAGTGGACTGGTGGAAATTGATTCCCTTTTGCTCTGCCAATAATAACTAAATTTATCATAACCTAAGGGAGCTTCATAGTTACCTTAGGGCTGAGATCAACCCAGTCTGGCAGTGGTGTCTGGTGGCATCTCATTCATGGTGATTTCAAAGTACCAGGACCCTTTCCGTATCCCATGAGAGGTCTGCACCATAAAGTAGACCTTCTTTCCAACCACAGTCAGCCAGCCAGTCACTGGAGATCTCTAACTGGGGAGCTTAATCATGTTGATCTAACAAAACCTGTTCATAGAAGCAGTCACTGTAGAGGTCTCCAGGAATAGGTTTTCCTGCCCAGCAGTTAATTTCAAGCTTCTGAGGACCAACCGTGTGAGGATCAGGCTAAGTTAGACTATACCAGTAGCCGTCTTCATTAAATGTGTGATCCAAGGGGTGTGAGGAGGACAGCCCTGAGCGGAAAACAAAAAGTCACTCTGGGCCTTCTTGGTGGTCCCTGTGGTCTCCCCATCCTTCTGTTTGCACTGAGCTCCTCTTCCTTTTTTCTGCTGTTCCTGCTGCAGTTTCCTGACTCAGATTCCCACTGTAGACACAGCACTGCTTTGTTTTTGGTTGTCGTAAACAGGGTCAATGTTACCAAGTCCTGATCCAAAAGTCCAAATCTGCGGTAGTCTTCTTTCCGGTCTTTATACCCTGGATCCAGGTGTTCCTTTACCAAGAGCACATCTCTTTTTTTACTCATTGTTTTAACAATGTTATTCAGCCAAGTCATTTTCCCAGGTGTCTGAATGGTCATCATGCACTCCCAGTATTTATCAATAAATAGTATAATATCTTTATCTTTGGAGAACCTTGTCTTTGGATATTCATTCAGTGTTCAGGACTGCCATGCCAGTTTGACCAAAGCACTAAGGGAAACTTCCTTCATGTTTGCTTGCTGCTGGATAAAATATGCCACTCTGATGGCATACTTTGCAATAAAAATTGTAGTTGATCATGACAGGTAGACAGGATGAGATTCTGTGCTAAATGTATCAACTGTGAACCATTTTGCACAAGAGCAGATGCCCCACTCCAGCTGGAGAGGCTGTTACTGCTGCCATCAGTTTCATCTCCCCCTTTTTGGCAGCTGCTGCATTTGCGGCTGCTCCTGGGCTGGGTCAGACACCCACCACTTACATCATGGTCACTCCCAGACTTTCTCACATTACTTTGAGTCACCAGTAATGAGGCGCTTCCAACTCTATTGGCCTCTTAGGAAGCTGCAGGCTGGCATAAAAGGAAGGGTGTCCTAATACTCAGGCACACTCTCCCAATCCTGTATGTTTTGATTGTTCTTGGTAGAGAAACTACACTGAATATAAATCTTCCTCTTTTGTACAGTGGTAAATTATTCAAATGCAAAATTCATTATTTTAACCATTTTCAAGTGTATACTTCAGTGTCATTAAGTAAATTAACACTGTTGTACAACCACAGTACCACCATTTATCTCCAGAAATTTTTCATCTTCCCAAACCAAAACTTAACACCTGGAAAACTTCATTCTACTTCTTGTCTGTATGGATTTGACTACTCTAGATACCTCATATAAGGGCAAGCAAACAATATTTGTCCTTTTGAAGCCAGCTTATTTCTGCTGGCGTGATGTCTTTAAGGTTCATCAATGCCATCGCATGAGTCAGAACTTTTTTTTTTTTAATTTATTATTATTATACTTTAAGTTTTAAGGTACATGTGCACAATGTTCAGGTTAGTTACATATGTATACATGTGCCATGCTGGTGCGCTGCACCCACTAACTCGTCATCTAGCATTAGGTATATCTCCCAATGCTATCCCTATCCCCTACCCCCACCCCACAACAGTCCCCAGAGTGTGATGTTCCCCTTCCTGTGTCCATGTGTTCTCATTGTTCAGTTCCCACCTATGAGTGAGAATATGCGGCATTTGGTTTTTTGTTCTTGCAATAGTTTACTGAGACTGTAAACTAGTTCAACCATTGTGGAAGTCAGTGTGGCAATTCCTCAGGGATCTAGAACTAGAAATACCATTTGACCCAGCCATCCCATTACTGGGTATATACCCAAAGGACTATAAATCATGCTGCTATAAAGACACATGCACACGTATGTTTATTGCGGCATTATTCAGAATAGCAGAACTTTCTTTTTAAGGTTGAATACTATTCCCTTGTGTGTGTATACTGTATCCCGTTTATCCATTAGATGACACTTGAGCTGCCTCCACCTTTTAGCTATTGTGAACGACGCTGCTATGAACAAGGGTGTACAATTTTCTCTTTGAGATCCTGCTTTCAATTATTTGAGGCACATACCCAGAACTGAAAATTCCGATAAAATGGCAATTCTACGTTTAATTTTTTTGGGGAAATGCCATAAGACCTCCACAATGGGTGCATCATTTTATAGTCCCTCCAGCAATGCATAACAGTTATAATTTCTATACGTCTTTGCTAGATCTTGTTATTTTCTATTATTTTGGTAATGCCATCCTAATGGGTGTGGAGTTGTATATTATTGTGGTTTGATTTTCACTGGCCTAATGATTAGTGATGCTGAACATCTTTCCATGTGCTTATTGCCCATTTGTAGATCTTCTTTGGAGTCTACTCAATACGAACTCAAGTTTTTTGCCCATATAATTCAGATTGTTTTCATTTTTGTAGTTACTCTTGAGTGGTAGGAGTTCTTTCTATAGTCTGCATCTCTTATCAGATGCAAAATTTGCGACAATCTTTCCTATTCTATGATTCAAATGTTTGCTCGGTTGATAGTGTCCTTTGATGCCCATAAGTTTTACAATTTGATAAAATCCAATTTATCTATATTCTTCTTTTTCTATTTTTTTCTGTGCCTTTGGTGTCATATTAACGAAGTCATTTCCAAACCCTATATTATGAACCTTCTCCCTAATGTTTTCTTTTAAGATTTTGACAGTTTTGGCTCTTCCATTTGGGTCTTTCATCCATTTCCAGATTGCTGGTGAATATCCAGTTTTCTCAACAGTATTTGTGAAAAAGACTGTCCTTTTCCACTAAATGGTCTTGACAACTTTGTTTAAAATTATTTGACTGTATAACTAAGAGGTTTTTTTAGGCACTCAGTTCTGTTTTATTTGTCAGTATGTCTGTCTATATGTACCACTCTGCTTTGATTAGTGTAGCTTTGTAGTATGTTTTGAAATCGGTGTGAAATCTCCAACACTGTTCTTCTTTTACAAGATGATTTTGACTATTTAGATTCTCTCAATATTATATATAAATTTTAGGATTAATTTTTTTCTATTCTTTTTGTTTGTTTGTTTGGCTTGCACTTTTTAAAAAATATATACTTTAAGTTCTGGGATATATGTGCAGACCGTGCAGGTTTGTTACCTAGGTATACACGTGCCATGGTGATTTGCTGTACCTGTCAACCCATCATCTACATTAGGTATTTCTCCTAACGCTATCCCTCCCCTAGCTCCCATCCCCAAGAGGCCCCGGTGTGTGATGTTACCCTCCCTGTGTCCATGTGTTCTCATTGTTCAACTCCCACTTATAAGTGAGAACATGCAGTGTTTGGTTTTCTGTTCCTGTGTTAGTTTGCTGAGAATGATGGTTTCCAGCTTCAGCCATGTCCCTGCAAAGGACATGAACCCATCCCTTTTTATGGCTGCATAGTATTCCGTGGTGTACATGTGCCCCATTTTCTTTATCCAGTCTATCCTTGATGGGCATTTGGGTTGGTTCCAAGTCTTTTCTATTGTGACTAGTGCTGCAACAAACATACATGTGCATGTGTCTTTATAGTAGAATGATTTATAATCCTTTGGGTATATACCCAGTAATGGGATTGCTGGGTCAAATGGTATATCTGGTTCTAGATCCTTGAGGAATCATCACACCGTCTTCCACAATGGTTGAACTAATTTACACTCCCACCAACAGTGTAAAAGCATTCCTATTTCTCCACATCTTCTCTAGCATCTTTTGTTTCCTGACTTTTTAATGATCTCCATACTAACTTGGAATTTTGATAGAGAATGCAATGAATCTGTAGATTCCTTTTGGTTTGTATGCCTAGCTTAACAATATTGAGTTTTCCAATAAATGAACAAAGGATTTCTTTCCATTTATTTGTGTATTAATTTCTTTTTGCAATGTTTTATAGTTTTCAATGTACAAGTCTTTCACCATTTTGATTAATATTATTCTTAAGTATTTTACTCGTTTATCTTTATTTATTTGTTTATTTGAGACATTGTCTCACTCTGTTACCCAGGCTGGAGTACAGTGGCAGGATCTTGGCTCATTGCAACCTCTGCCTACCATACTCGAGTGATTCTTGTGCCTCAACCCCGAGCAGGTGGGATTACAGACATGTGCCACCACACCTAGCTAATTTTAAATTTTATTTATTTATTTATTTATTTATTTATTTATTTATTTATTTATTTATTTTAGTAGAGACAGGGTTTCACCATATTGACCAGGCTACTCTTGAACTTCTAATCTCAGGTGATACCCCCAAATCAACCTCCCAAAATGCTGGGATTACAGGCATGAGCCACCGTGCCCAGCCGTATTTTACTCTTTCGAATGATGTTGTAATTTGATTTCTTTTCTTAATTTCATTTTGAGTTGTTTCCTGTTTGCTTATTTAAGTATAGAATTATAACAGATTTTCTTTCTTTCTTTCTTTTTCTTTCCTTTCTTTCTTTCTTTCTCTCTCTTTCTTTTTCTTTCTTTCTTTTCTCTCTCTTTCTCTCTCTTTCTCTCTTCCCCCCACCCCCCACCGCTTTCTTAGAGACAGAGCCTTGCTTTCTTTCCCAGGCTGTTCTTGAACTCTTGAACCCAAGAAATCCTCCCACCTCAACCTCTCAAAGTGCTGGGATTACAGGCATGAGTCACCATGCCTAGCCATGAGATGTTTTTACAAGGTGATTATGTATTATAAAACATTACTGAATACATTTAATCATTCTAATAATTTTTTGTGGGACTTTTAAGGGCATTTTACATATGACATTATGTCATCTGAAAACAGAGATTTTATTTTTTATTTCTAATTTTTATTCTGTTTATTTCTTTTTCTTGCCTAATTACTCTTGCCAGGTCTTCCAATACTGCTTTTAATAGAACTGGTGAAAGTGTGCATTATTGCTTTGTTCCTGATATTACAAAAACCTCTTTGGTCTTTCAGATTGCATATGATGTTAGCTGTGGGATTTTCTTTTTTTTTTTTTTTGTTATTTATTTATTTATTTATTTATTTTTTATTGATCATTCTTGGGTGTTTCTCGCAGAGGGGGATTTGGCAGGGTCATAGGACAATAGTGGAGGGAAGGTCAGCAGATAAACAAGTGAACAAAGGTCTCTGGCTTTCCTAGGCCGAGGACCCTGTGGCCTTCCGCAGTGTTTGTGTCCCTGGGTACTTGAGATTAGGGAGTGGTGATGACTCTTAACGAGCATGCTGCCTTCAAGCATCTGTTTAACAAAGCACATCTTGCACTGCCCTTAATCCATTTAACCCTGAGTGGACACAGCACATGTTTCAGAGAGCACAGGGTTGGGGGTAAGGTCATAGATCAACAGCATCCCAAGGCAGAAGAATTTTTCTTAGTACACAACAAAATGAAGTCTCCCATGTCTACTTTCTACACAGACACAGCAACAATCTGATTTCTCTATCTTTTCTCCACCTTTCCCCCTTTTCTATTCCACAAAACCGCCATTGTCATCATGGCCCGTTCTCAATGAGCTGTTGGGTACACCTCCCAGACGGGGTGGTGGCCAGGCAGAGGGGCTCCTCACTTCCCAGAAGGGGCGGCCAGGCAGAGGCGCCCCCCCACCTCCCTCCCGGACGGGGTGGCTGGCCGGGCAGGGGGCTGACCCCCCACCTCCCTCCCGGACGGGGCGGCTGGCTGGGCGGGGGCTGGCCCCCCACCTCCCTCCCGGACGGGGCGGCTGCTGGGCGGAGATGCTCCTCACTTCCCAGAAGGGGTGGCTGCCGGGCGGAGGGGCTCCTCACTTCTCAGATGGGGTGGCCGGGCAGAGACGCTCCTCACCTCCCAGACGGGGTCGCGGCCGGGCAGAGGCGCTCCTCACATCTCAGACGGGGCGGTGGGGCAGAGGCGCTCTGCACATCTCAGACGATGGGCTGCCGGGCAGAGACACTCCTCACTTCTTAGATGGGATGGCGGCCGGGAAGAGGCGCTCCTAACTTCCCAGACTGGGCAGCCGGGCAGAGGGGCTCCTCACATCCCAGACGATGGGCGGCCAGGCAGAGACGCTCCTCACTTCCCAGACGGGGTGGCGGCCGGGCAGAGGCTGTACTCTCGGCACTTTGGGAGGCCAAGGCAGGCGGCTGGGAGGTGGAGGTTGTAGCTAGACGAGATCACGCCACTGCACTCCAGCCTGGGCAACATTGAGCACTGAGTGAACGAGACTCCGTCTGCAATCCCGGCACCTCGGGAGGCCGAGGCTGGCGGATCACTCGAGGTTAGGAGCTGGAGACCAGCCCGGCCAACACTAGCTGTGGGATTTTCATAGATGGTCTTTACTGTGTTGAGGTAGTTTCATTCTATTCATAGTTCATTGGGTGTTTTTACCATGAAAGGGCGTGGAGTTTTGTGAAACGATTTTCTGTAGCCAGGGTCTTACTGCATTACATTTGGAAGAGACACTCTGCTCTATACCCACCCAGACCTGCTCCACTATATACCTGGTGTTAGAGAGGAATAAATACCTTGTGTTCACCAGGGTCCAGGGGCCACTCAACCAGACCTACAGTAGAGGTCACCTGTGTGAAGGGGTGGGGGAGCTGAAGAGGCCCTCTTGGGTACAACTGTGGACTCTGCTTCAAGTCATAGTAGCTGTAGATGTAGACTTCTTTGTAGATGTTGACTGGGATGGAACCATCCCTGCCACTCTGGACTCAGACATGGGCAAGGGGTCCAGGGAAAACAGAGGCATGGACCAGAATCAGAAGCAATAAGGTGAGGGGACTAGGCTCAGGTTCCTGTGAGTAGTTTGGGATGACTGTTATAGCAAGTCACCCCATTTGCCCCAGAGTTGGTGGTTGTGTTGAAGAGTCTCTCAAGGAAGCCAGTTTCTCCCTCACTCTGACCACCTCCTGCTGATGGCCCTTCCTGTAGATTGATCAGGAATGAATCCTTCATAACTCCCAAATTTAGGAGACCAGCTAGACTTCTATGGATGGCCCCAGAGTTTCCATTAATGAGTTTTAGATGAAAGGAAAGGGTGTGCAATGCTTTCTTTATGCAAACCAGCCTGTCTCCCTCTTCTTGTCTCCTAGCCCCTTCATAGAACCTCAGTCCAGACAGTCACCGGAATACATTTCCCAGGTGGGGTGGAGAAAGCCAGGTTGGCTGAATCTGGTTCCCTGTGAGGACACAGCTGCTGAGCCCAGTGAGCAGTGAACAGATGATGGCTTCCCAGCTGTCATTATCTGCAGCCCCTCAAGGACAAGCCTATAGCACCCAGTGCTGCCCCAGTCTCAGACCTATTGAGCCCTTCAGTTTCTCCCTGCCTTTGTCTATTTTCTTCTTCACCAAAGTTATGACTATGAGGGCCCCTCTTAAGCTGCAGTTGTATTTATTGCTCTGCAAAGAATTCCTGTACCATGACATACCTGTCTGGTCCATGCTGCTGTTTTTAGCAATGTCCTGGGATCTTGGTCTCACTGAGGGAGATTCTCTGATAGACATCAGAGTAGGGAGTCCAGTTTGGTAAAGGGGAAGCCACCAGAAATGCACGCCTGTGAGCAGAGTTGCCTCCTTCTTCCCCACTCAAGAGTGTGGCCCCTTTTCAGGCTGCCAAGTCTTGTCCTGGAATCTCTGGGCTGTCAGGGTGGGTCTCCTCCTACTCTCAGCCCACCCACCTTCAGCATCAAAAGGACCCTGGAGTTTTCTCACTGGACAGAAGGAGAGCCATAAGAGCCATACTGAGCTCTTCTGTCTCTTACATGTTGCTTATGCACCCCTGGCTTAAACCTCACTGTGTGGGGACCGAGTAGTCCCCTTGCATCTGGTTTTGAAAGACTTATGAGGTCCCTCATCCAGAGCTCTGGCTGCAGCAACCCCTGGGGAGGTCCTGAGTCTGCAGACTTGGAGAATAATAGAAAGAAGAATTAGGGAAGTGAGTAGGTGTTATTCATTGGAAATCGTATATGGTGTATTTAGTGCTAACTAACATGCTCACTGGAGGGTAGCTGTGTTAGAGAGACTCTGCCTTTGAGGTTCAGCTCATAGACCTGGCATCAGTAAGAGGAGACCAGCCCCAACACTGCCTCTTCCAAGCCTCGAAGCCTGTGAGGAGTTGGTAGATAAACTACAGCGCACCCAGGTAAATTTGTATTTCAATTTAACAATATCATGTGGGAGATACACATACTAATTCTTTGTCATTGTTTTACCGAATTCAAATTTAACTGCACTCCAATGTTTTTATTTGATAAATTGGAGAACCCTACCTCCAGGCCACAAGCACTCCCTCTCTAATCATGGCCTACTGCATGAAAAGCAATCATAAAGTTGTTTTTGGGCATAAATGAGGTCACACTCTCAGGAATTAAAAAGCTATTGGTCAATAGTAAGGTTGCAGTTGTAGTAAATCTTAATACAACCTATCAAAACTTCTGGGATACAGCAAAAGCAGTGCTATGAGGAATGTTTAGCATTAAATACATACATCACAAAGTCTGAAAGAGCACAAATAGACAATCTAAGGTTACACCTCATGGAAATGGAGACTCAAGAACAAGGCAAACCCAAACCCAGCAGAAGAAAAGAAATAACGAAGATTAGACCAGAACTAAATAAAATTGAAACAAAAAGCAATGCAAAAAACAAATGAAACAAAAAACTGGTTCTTTGAAAAGATAAATAAAATTAATAGACCATTAGCAAGATTAACCAAGAAAAGGGAGAAGATCCACATAAGCTCAAATAGAAATGAAACAGAAGATATTAATACTGATACCACAGAAATATAAAAGATTATTCAAGGCTACTCTGATTACCTCTATGCACATAAACTAGAAAGCCCAGAGGAGATGGATCAATTTCTGAATGTATACAACCCTCCCAAATTAAATGAGGAAGATATAGAAACTCTGAACAGGCCAGTAACAAGCAGCAAGATTGAAATGGTAATTTAAAAAAAATCAACAAAATAAAGCCAGGACCAGACAGATTCACAGTTGAATTCTATCAGACATTCAAAGAAGAATTAGTACTAATCCTATGACATTAATTGTGATGGTTAATACCGAGTGTCAACTTGATTGGATTAAAGGATACAAAGTATTGATCCTGGGTGTGTCTTTCAGGGTGTTGCTGAAAGAGATTAACATTTGAGTAAGTGGGCTGGGAAAGGCAGACCCACCCTTAATCTGTGTGGGCACAATCGAATCAGCTGCCAGCATGGCTAAAGTATAAGCAGACAGAAAAATGTGAAAAGAGAGACTGGCCTACCCTCCCAACCTATATCTTTATCCTGTGCTGGATGCTTCCTGCCCTTGAACATCATACTCCAAGTTCTTCAGTTTTGGAACTCGAACTGGCTCTCCACTCACCAAGGGTGACCTAGCTATGGCTAATGCTGAGTGCCCAATTTGCCAGCAGCAAAGACCAACACTGAGCCCTTGATATGGCACCATTCCTTGGGGTGATCAGCCAGCTATCTGGTAGAAGGTTGATTATATTGGAAATCTTCCATTATGAGAAGGGCATAGGTTTGTCCTCACTGATATAGACACTTATTCCAGATATGGGTTTGCCTGTAAGACTACCATCCTCCGTGGACTCATGGAATGCCTTATTCACCATCCTGGTATTCCACATAGCATTGTTCTCGCCAGGGCACTCACTTTATTCATAAAGAAGTGCAGCAGTGGGCTCATGCTCATAAAATTCACTGGTCTTACCATGTTTCCCATCATCCTGAAGCAGCTGGATTGATAGAACAATGGAATGGCCTTTTGAAGTCACAATTACAATGTCAACTAGGTGACAATACTTTGCAGTGCTGGGGCTAAGTTCCCCAGAAGGCGTGTATGCTCTGAGTCAGCATCCAATATATGGCACTGTTTCTCCCATAGCCAGGATTCATGAGTCTAGGAATCAAGGGGTGGAAGTGGAAGTGGCAGCACTCACCATCACCCCTAGTGATCCACTAGCAAAATTTTTGCTTCCTGTTCCCACGACATTATGTTCTGCTGGCTTAGAGGATTTAGTTCCAGAGGAAGGAACACTGCCACTTGGAGACACATCAATGATTCCATTAAACTGGGGAAGTTAAGATTGCCACCTGGACACTTTGGGCTCCTCCTACCTTTAAGTCAACAGGCTAAGAAGGGAGTTACAGTGTTGGCTGGGGTGTTTGGGACAGACTATCAAGATGAAATCAGTTTACTACTCCATAACGGAGGTAAGGAAGAGTATGCATGGAATACAGGAGATCCATTAGGGCATTTCTTAGTATTATCATGCCCTGTGATTAAGGTCCATGGAAAACTAAAACAGCCCTATCCAGGCAGGACTACAAATGAACCAGATGCTTCAGGAATGAAGATTTGGATCACACCATCTGGAAAAATATCCACGACCTGCTGAGGTGCTTGCTGAAGGCAAAGGGAATACAGAATACAGAATGGATAGTAGAAGAAAGTAATCATCAATACCAGCTATGGCCAGCTGCAGAAACGAGGAGTGTAATTGTCATGAGTATTTCCTCCTTCTTTTGTTAAAAACATGTTTGTGCGTGTATACCTTTGTCCTAAGAAAATATCTTCATGTTATTTCCTTTCTCCTTTATCATGTGACATAAGATTTATTGACTTCACATCAGCGTTTAAGTATCGTTAACTTTATGTAACAGTATTTGGGTTGGGGATTGATGTGTTTCTGTTTGTATGAATGATAGTTGTATTATGTTAGGTGTCATTATGACCTTATTATTGTCTTTATTTGAAGATTATGTATGATCTCAGAAGATATATATGGGTTGAAGTTGACAAGGGGTGGACTTGTGATGAGTAATACTGAGTGTCAACTTGATTGGATTGAAGGATAAAAAGGATTGATCCTGGGTGTGTCTGTTAGGGTGCTGCCAAAGGAGATTAGCATTTGAGTCAGTGGGTGGGAAAGCCATGCCCACCCTTAATCTGGGTGGGAACAATCTAATCAGCTAACAGCATGGCTAGAAAATAAGCAGGCAGAAAAATATGAAAAGAGAGATGGGCTTAGGCTCCCAGCCTACAACTTTCTCCTATGCTTGATGCTTCCTGCCCTCAAACATGGAACTCCAAGTTCTTCAGTTTTGGAACTCGGACTGGCTCTCCTTGCTCCTTAGCCTGCAGACAGCCTATTGTGGGATGTTGTGATCATGCTATATATATACAGATTCCATTAGTTCTGTCCATCTAGAAAACCCTGACTAATGCACTAATTCACAGGAAGGAGAAAGAGGAAATTCTTCCTAAATTATTCTTTGTAGCCAGTGTCACCCTCATACCAAAATGAGGGAAGGACATAACAAAACAAGAAAACTACAGAACAATATCCCTGATGAACATAGATGCAAAAATAATAAATGAAATACTAGCTAACCAAATCCAACAGCTATCAAAAACATAGTCCACCATGTTCAAGTGGGTTTCATACCAGGGATGCAGGGATGGTTTAACATATGCAAGTCAATAAATGTGATATACCACATAAAAAGCATTAAAAACAAAAATCACATGATTATCTCAATGCATGCAGAAAAAGCACTTGGCAAAATCCAGCATCACTTCATGGTTAAAAGCCTTTGCAAAATTGACATAGAAGAGACATACCTTATGGTAAGAAAAGCCCACTCTTTCAAACCCATAGTCAACATTATACTGAAAGGAAAAAAAAGTTGGAAACAATTCCCCTGAGAACTGGAACAAGACAAGAATGCCCACTTTCACCACTTCTATTCAACATAGTACTGGAAGTCTAAGCCAGAGCAATCAGACAAGAGAAACAAATCCAGGACATCCAAATTGGTAAAGAGGAAGTGAAACTGTTGCTGTTGGCAGATAATGTGATCATATACCTAGAAAACCTTAAAGACTCATCCAAAAATCTCCTAGAACTGGTAAATAAATGGCCAGGCACGGTGGCTCACGCCTGTAATCCCAGCACTTTGGGAGGCCGAGGCAGGCGGATCACAAAGTCAGGAGATCGAGACCATCCTGGCTAACACGGTGAAACCCCGTCTCTACTAAAAATACAAAAAATTAGCCGGACATGGTGGCAGGCACCTGTAGTCCCAGCTACTCGGGAGGCTAAGGTGGGAGAATGGTGTGAACCCAGGAGGCGGAGCTTGCAGTGAGCTGAGATTGCGCCACTGCACTCTAGCCTGGGCGACAGAGCGAGACTCCATCTCAAAAAAAAAAAAAAAAAAAAAAAGAACTGGTAAATAAATACAGCAAAGTTTCAGGATACAGAAGTAAGGCACACAAATCAGTAGCTCTGTTATACAATAACAGTGAACAAGCTGAGAATCAAATCAACAACTCAAACCTTTTTACAAATAGCTGCAAAAAAATACACCTAGGAATATACCCAACCAAGGAGGTGAAAGACCTCTACAAGGAAAACTACAAAACACTGCTGAAAAAATCATGTCACACATCCCCCGCTCATGAATGGGTAGAATCAATATGTTGAAAATGATCATGGTGCCAAAAGCAATCCACAAATTCAATGCAGTTCCCATCAAAATATCACCATCATTCATTACAGAACTGGAAAAAACAATCTTAAAATTCATATGAAACCAAAAAAGACCTGCATAGCCAAAGCAAGACTAAGCAAAAGGAACAAATCTGGAGGCATCACATCACCCAACTTCAAACTATACTCTAGCATAATTTGACTCACAGTCACTAAAACTGCAAGGTACTGGTGCAAAAGTGGGCACGTAGACCAAAGGAACAGAATAGAGAATCCAGAAATGGAGCCAAATAACTGATCTTTAACAAAGCAAACAAAAACATAAAGTGGAAAAAGGACATCCTATTGAACAAATGGTGCTGGGATAATTGGCAAGCCAAATGTAGAGGAATAAAACCGGATCTTCATCTCTCACCTTATGCAAAAATCAAGCCAAGATGAATCAAAGACTTAAATTTAAGGCCTGAAACTGTAAAAATTCTAGAAGATAACATTAAAAAAACCCTTCTAGACATTACTTTAGACAAATACTTCATGACCAAGAACCCAAAAGCAAATGCAACAAGAACAAAGATAAATAGATGGGACTTAATTAAACTAAAAACCTTCTGCACAGCAAAAGAATCAGCAGAGCTAACAGACAGCACACCGAGTGGAAGCAAATCTTCACAATCTATACATCCAACAAATGACTAATGTCTATAGTCTACAAAGAACTCAAACAAATTATGAAAAAAAATAAGCAGTCCCATCAAAAGATGGACTAAAGACATGAATAAACAATTTTCAAAAGAAGATATACAAATGGACAAAAGACATATAGAAAAATGTTTGACATCGCTAATGATCAGGGAAATGCAAGTCAAAACCACGATGTGATACCACCTTACTACCACAAAAATGGCCATAATCAAAAAATAAAAATAATAATAGATGTTGGCATGGATGTGGTGAAAACAAAACACTTTTACACTGGTGGTGGGAAGGTAAACTAGTACAGTCACTACAGAAAACAGTGTGGAGATTCCTCAAGGAAATAAAAATAGATGTACCCTTTGATCCAGCAATCTCACGACTAGGTATCTACCCAGAGAAAAAGAAGTCGTTATACAAAAAAGATACTTGCACACGCATGTTTATAGCAGCACAATTGTAAAAGCATGGAACCAGCCCAACTGCCCATAAATCAACAGGTGGATAAAGCAAATGTGATGTATACATACACATACCATGGAATATTACCCAGCCATAAAAGGAACAAAATAATGGCATTCACAGCGACCTGGATGGAACTGGATGCTGTTATTCTAAGTGCAGTAACTCAGGAATGGAAAACAAAACATTGTATGTTCTCACTCATCAGTGGGAGATAAGCTATGAGAACACAAAGGCATAACAATGATACAATGGACTTTGGGGACTCGGGGGAAAGGGTAGGAGGGGGGTGAGGGATGAGAGGCTACTCATTGGGTACAGTGTACACTGCTTGGATGATGAGTGCACCAAAATCTCAGGAATCACCACTAACGAACTTATTTATGTGACAAAGCAACACTTGTCCCCCAAAAACCTATTAAAATAAAAAAATTGAAAAATAACCAAAAAGAGAAAAATCACTAAAACCCTTAAAAACCCAAATAAATCAGTAAATAAATAAATATATAAATAAATGAAAGACGAGAACCTCTTCCACTATAGAGAGAATCAGAAGCAAGAGATGAAGAAGCAAGAATCCCGACAAGCCATCACAGACTGTCCTGTCACCTTAGATGAACATTGCCCCTAAAGTTTGATTTGGATGCACAATAAATTCAAACTTTAAAATAAATACATAAATAAAATCAGAAAAAAATGGCCTAAGGACCTTCAAAGATAGTAAGGAGCCCTCTACGAGATGGGTACAATGCAGCAACAACAGCGAGAATCTCAAAAGAAGTGTGCAGAGTGAAAGAAGCCTGAACAAATGGGAAGATAATGTTTGATAACACTGATACATTCCAGAAAAGAGAAACCAAACAGTAGTGACAGAGGCAGATCTGCAACTTCCAAGGAGGGTGTTGGGGGAGGGAATGAGGTGACAAGGGTCATGAGGAGCTATTGGGGTTGGTCACAGGTTGTATGTTGTATAGCTCCCGGTGGTGGTGATGTTTTCAAGGATCCATAGAAATGCCAAAATTTGTCTCATTCCCTATTGTAAATATGGGTGGCTTATTATATGTGCATTATTCCTACATGAAAGGAGTTTTATTAAAAAAAGAATAGGCTGGAGAGAAAGGAAGCACAGGGATTCACACTGAGGAGAAGGGGGAGGAAGACACCACTCTGGAAACTCCTGGAAATGGAAAAAGTAGGATGATGGAGACACAGGTTCCCCAACAGAAGTGGGTCTGTGATGACACAGCTGGACCTGCCACCTCAGCCCAGGACTTCAGTGCAGAGACCCTGTGTCCCAAGCTACAGGGAGCAGGACACCCTGCTTTTGTTTTCTGGACACCCTGTTCCTGACTCTGAGGACTCAGGGGAGGAGGAGCCTCCACTCTCAGGCAGGGCCCTGGATATCCCTGGACCCATGGGGGAAGCTGCAGCAGCAGAAGCCACAGGCCAGGCCTGAGCAGCAGCAGCCGGGGCTCACCCTCCTGGCAGAAAAGGAAGGGGGTTCTTGTCTCTGTTCCCCCTGGGCCTGGAGCACTGTGGGACCATTCAGGCTGTCATCCCATGCTGCACAGTAATAATCAGCCTCATCCTCAGACTGGAGCCCACTGATGGCCAGGGAGGCTGAGGTGCCAGACTTGGAGCCAGAGAATCGGTCAGAGACCCCTGAGGGCAGCAGATCATCATAATAGATGAGGAGTTTGGGAGCCTTTCCTGGGAGCTGCTGGTACCAGTTTACAGCATTATTTCCGATGTTGGAGCTGCTTCCAGAACAGGAGATGGTGACCCTCTGCCTGGGGGCTTCAGACACCGAGGGTGGCTGAGTCAGCACAGACTGGGCCCAGGACCCTGGAAGTGAGAGAGACACAGACATGGTGATTGACAAGAGACAAAAGGAGACAAGAGGAGAAAGCAGGGTCGCATGGGCTTCCCAGGGCCTCTCTCTTGGTCCCCATCCTGTCACCTGCACAGTGAGTGATGAGGGTGAGGAAGAGAGGGGACCAGGCCATGCTGGAGATTGTCCTGAGTCCTGTCTTCTCTACCCGCAGCTGAAGCTGAGCTTCCCCCAAATCTCTCCCTTTCTTCATACTCTGAGAGGGGGAGAGTCCATCCATGCAAATCAGACCCCCCCCAGGTTTGTGACCCCACCCTGAGCCCTGGGTCAGGCTCCTTGGCTTGAGGATGTCAGGGGGTGGCAGGGGTGGAGCTTTGTGGTCCCAGGGGGTGGGGAGGACACAGCTGTGAGCCCTGAGCAGAGGACACCAGGCAGGGCAGGCGGCTGGTTCTGCTCTGATCACCCCTGTCTTCTCAGGAATGATCCCCATGCGCCCTCTGGTGTCCAGATCAAGGTAAACCATTCTATGATAAGGTGACCAGAACCTCTCAGATACATGGCTTCCTCCCCCCATTCTGTCCACTGCCCCCTCTCTCAGGTCCAAGGCAGGCCAAGTGGTGTCTGTGTCTCCTCCCTGTGACTTCAGGGCTATCTTCACGCTCTACTGAGGAGTCTTCAGACTCCTCAGGAGTGAATCTTTCCATGGCTCTTTGGCTGTACATTGTAGAGGACTCAGGTGGTATCTACATAAAGTCCTATGTCAGGATCAAGCCCATAGCAGGGACCAGCCCCATGGACTCACCTCCCCACCTGTGTTGGACACCAGGTCCTCTCCTCTCATGTGGCTCCTTCCTGGTGGCTAGAGCTCTCCTTCCTCTGTGGATCCTGTGGCGCTGAGGAGAAAGGGAGCTCTTTCCTCTAGGATTCCCTGGGGAGGAATTCCCAGAGGGTTTTCCTGGTAAATCTTTGTTCTCCCTCTACTTCCCCAGATTTGCAGTCATAGTCATCTGGATACTGTGACCAGGGATCTTGCCTAGGAGTCTGTACACTAAATGCTCATCTGCAGGGGATCCTGGCAAATGACTTTGGAGTGTTTCACTTATGAACAAAAAGAGCAAAGATGCTCAGTCTTTGAAGATGGGAAGAATTAAAATTTTAACTTGGTTTAACCAGAGTCTGTCCTCAGGTGAGCCTGATACGTGGTAGCTCTCAACATCAAGCACCCCAACTAGGATTTTTAGGGAAAAATTATGGTTCAAATTCAGTAGTGAGTGTTATGGGGGTGGCTTAAGGATGATAGAAAATTATTTATCTTTGATCTGTAATGACAACTAGAATCTAATAAGCTAAAAACAAGCTTAAGAAAAATTGTAATTCTGTTGATCAGAATGAAAAATGAAACAGGTTATGCCTACGACTGCATGAATTCTGGCATGATACATCCTGGGCTCTTAATAATTACTAGTTTGGGGAATTCTATGGGGATGGAGGAAAACAGCTGGATGGTTTTGTTGATATTTCCACTGGTAAATGTATCACCAGGCAGTTGCCGTAGAATGAGATTTTAAGTGCTCCATTTAAAAATGGAATAGTGAGATTTAATATAGACATTTAAATAAAACCAGTCCATATATGGAACTGAAATAAAATGTATGCTGTGTTTTGGGATTGCATTTCAAGGGTGTCATTATTTTAAGTGTTCCTTTTAGTGTAAGCCATGTTCCTTTACATAATTTTTATAGCTTTCAAAAAATGTTTATTGCATTTACGTAACACATCAGGCATATTAAGTTTTATTTATTTCCAAGTAGAAACAAACTATTAGAGCTGGGCTTCACTTCCTGTTTGGCTCATTGCTTTTTCTTTGATGATGCATAGATGTTCACAGTGAATTTTGTTTTCCTTTCCTCCCACGTTAATGAACAGGGATCACCGAGGCTGAGCAGTGCCTCACATACAGGACAAGGCTGCCCATGGCCCCCTCCCTGCCCACAGATGTGCTTCCTGGTGGATGCCCCATCAGCTCTTAGGCTGAGGACAGAGAGGAGAACAGGTCCACAGCTACGGAATCTGGACACCCAGAGGATCCAGGAGGGACAACAGCTGGGACAGTGAGCCCTGGACAGAGGACACTGACCATGGATTTTTATCCTCATGGGACCCTCACAGACAGACCAAAACTCCAGTCTCTGTGTGTCTTCAGGGCCCAGGTCCTTCCAGGTCCTCCTTTTATCACTACTGTAGGCCCCGGCCCTACTCCTCCTATGAGTCACAATGGACAGTCTCCTCTTCAGGCTGCATTCTCCTTACCACATCTTATCCCACACCTGTCTCCCCATTCCCCCATAAACAATCCCCTGCTCATTTCCATTAGCATTTTTGTGTCATTCTGGGATCACAGCCTCCCAAGTATGTCTCTGCAGGATTTCCATGTTGCAGAGAGCTCAACCCCTTGACAGGACCGCTGTGCCTGGGCCACCTAAGGCTGAGCATCTCTCTTGCTTCTCTTCTACACCAGCTCTAGGCCAAGCCATATCTAGACCTTTCAGAATGCTGAACCCACGTTTTCTTAAGCATCAGACTTCCTGTCTCACGTTTGGGTCTCTGGGTCACACAGGCTGGATTCTTCATTCTTGGCATCTCTCGCACAGTTTCTGAGCTCAGGAAATGGTCAGCATAACTGCACCAAGAGGAGGAGACACCTTTGGAACCAGACTAAAGGCTTCTGGGCCTCTGGGTCACACAGGGTGGATTCTTTCTTGTCCCTACCTCATCCCCACCCACCATGTGTGGGCAGCTCCTTTTGCTTCTAGAAACAAATTGATTCTGTTTGCATTGGGAGACCAGTAAGAAAAGGGATTATTTTTACTGAACTTGTGCTCTGCTTCAGTAACACAAGTGACAGCCGAAGTCTTGGCATGAACTGGTGTTGGTCACAGGCAGGGATAAAGGAGGGATGGGGAGACAGGATGAGTGGGGCAGATCTTTCTCTCATTTCCACATGGAACAGGAACCCTTGGTAACATGGAGTCAGGATGCAGCTGTGTGACACTGATAACCAGCCAGTCCTCAGGCTGGAGCCAAGAGGTGCTCCAGGAGGCTGTGTGGATAAACCCAGAGCAGGAGAATCAGGCTGGGACCCCTGAGGGACCATCACTGCTGTCCTAGGTCATAAACTTGGGGGCTCTTTCTGGGAGGCCTCCGTAGCCATTTCCACGGGAATGCCCAATGTTTCTGCTGCTCCCCATGCAGAAAAAGGTGACCTTGAGATGTGGTGGTCTTTCCACATACTCACCACTAGACCCTGATTCAGCAAGAAGCTCCAATGGTGTAAGAGAGGAGAAGAGAACACAGGCGCTGAGGGATCAAGAAACCCACGCTCAGCAGTCCCCATGGTCCTGAGTGGGATGAGCTGCAGGAAAGTCACATCCATGGGACCTACTTCCCCCGTGGCCAAGGAGCAGCCTCTGGCTTGTCTCAGCCACAGTGGAGCCTCCCCTTGACTCTCCTGTCATGTCCTACATAGAGGTTTACTGGTCTCAGGTCCCCAGTTACCCTAATACCTAACCCCATCTCCTGACATTGCCACTGAAATGCAGGTACCCAGGACTGAGCCAGGTCAGCACTATATCTAGAATTCCCTGACCTGTGTCCTCAGGCAGCATTTCATATTTGAGTGCCTTGTTCCTGGGACACAGTGAGCCACAGACAGCCCTGAGAACAGACTACTGGGGATGGAAGGGGAGGTCTCTGCCCGTACGCTGGAAGAGCAGAGTCCATGCTGCAGGGCACTGTTCACCTGCTAGGATGTCCCCAGGCTCTGACCATGATGTGAGCTAGGAAAGCCTCATTTTGCTTCTTTCAAGAACAAAAGTCCAGCTCCACAGGCACTGGTGTTAGCACATGTGGACAACCAGCCAACACTTCAGGGTCATCAGTTGCTTTGGTTTTGTTTTGTTTTACTGAGACTTCAGACGAATGGATGGGAAATTGAGAGAAGAGCCTTTTACAACTAGAAAGTACTTCCAAATGTAGTTTGTGCCTAGGCCAGTTATTTTAAAATTTAAAATTTTTTAAGAACAAGACCTAAAGCAGGGTGAGGTTTTTGTCCCACTTTCCCATCTGTGTGTGTCACTGTGAGAAGCATTGCTTGGCCAAATCATACAGTAATAGTCAGCCTCATCCTCAGACTGGAGCCCGGAGATGAGTAAAATCCCTGTATTGGCTGAAGCATCTTTGGATCCAGAGAAGCGGCTGGGGACTCCAGAGCCCTGGCCCTTATCTGAGTCTGAGTAGTAGTACAGGAGATACCTGGGAGGGCTCCCTGGCTTCTGCTGGTACCAGTATATGTTGTAGCTACCAACATTGATGTCACTGGGCAAGGTGCAGGTGAGTCTGGCGGATTCTCCAGGAGATGCGGAGGAGGAAGGTGGCTGAGTCAGCACAGGCTGGGAGAGGGAACCTGCAAACACAGACACTCATGGTTGATGGGCAGGGTTCAGGGTGAGGTTTTTCAGGGATCTTTACCAGAAGAGCCAGAATCAGGTTGGGTGGCTGGCCCTGATCTCTGAGGCCTGTCCCTACCTGTGCAGTGAGAGAGGAGCAAGAGAAGAAGAGGAGTCCAGGCCATGGTGGACACAGCCTGACATGCACAGTGGGACTGGGCTGCCCCAGGCCTCCTTTTCTTCCCATACTCTGCAGAGGAGGGGCTGCTCATGCAAATGTGTTTTCATCCAGGGACTGCCCAGCCCCTCTCTAAGCTCTGGGGCTGAAGCTCAGCTCACACTGCAGACTGAGGAGGAAGAAGTTTTGCTTTTCCCCTTGAGAGGGCTCCGGAAGAAAGCACCTACTGAAACCATACACACCTTCCTGCTCAGGGGACTCTGCCATGCCATGGGAGGACATAGATGCTAAGTACCCCTCAGTGAGCACGGGGTCTTAGCCCCTAGTCTTGGATTTCTTTGAGTGAATGGTCCTTACTGAGCAGCTGTGTAGGGACCATAGGGCAGTCCCCCAGCATCCCATGCTGGTTAGAGGACACTTACCTCCTGATGGCCCAGCTGATCTCTGCAGCTCATTAGTCACTGTCTCTATTCACACCTCTATGGTCTGATTGCTAGACACTAATTCCATAAGGCTATGCATGATTATTGTGATTTCTCACTCCCAGAGTGAGTCTTGGTCCATGGGATGTAGACATGTACATATATAACTTTTAAAATCTAGAAAAACCTAACTGCCCACATGTGCCATCAGGGTAGGCATCATGGAGAAGAGGTCAGCTGAGGAGCTAGGTTGAAGGGCAGCTGGGGGTTACTCAAAAGGACGGTGAATAATGAGAATTTTGCAAGAAAAATAAATGATCCATGACATGTTAAAGTAGCAATTCAGCAAAAGTTATCTCTACAGTGGTTTCATACATTTTAGAGTTTTTACTCAACGTAGTGATATAGGGAAATGAATAGCATTGGTAAACTTACTTTTACAAGTGAGTAGTGTGACATATTTCTCATTTTATACAGTCAACCGTTATCTCCCTAAGTAAAACTTGTTGTTTTCTGCACAGTTGTGTCCCTGCTTGCTCTGACCGATTGGGCTCTGTTCCTAGGGCAGCCTGTTCCAGGAACCAAGGACTTTCTGATTTTTTTTGAGGCAATTTGACAATGCTGTTGCTATGGGCTTTCTCTGAGGGCTGACTCTGAGGAAACAAAGCTGCATTCTCTAAATCACTGTCCCTGACCTGAGACCTGGGCCCTGGCTAGCACCAGCCCAAGCAAACATGAACACAAATGGTAAACAGCCCAGTTTTCCCAGTTGTAGGTGGTGCTGTCGGGTCGTGCTCCTAGGAGACCTGAAATGTTCCCATCTCACTTCCCCACAGACTGCAGCACCGTGGGGGCCTCCAGAGAACTGTCCAAATCCAACGTTAGTGATCAGCCTTGTCCTCAGCCTGGAGCCCAGATATGCTCAGGAAGGCCTCCTTGCCAGACTGATCACTCAAGAATCAGTTCTGGATCTGCAGGTGGATATTTACATCCACAGATCAGAGGTTTAAGGACACTTCCTGTTCATTGTTGGTACCAGGACACAATTCCAAGGACGTTATTGCTGCTGTTTCCAGTGCAGGAGATGGTGGCTGGTTTAGTCACAGACAAACTGTGCAGGCCACCAAGTGAGCCCTGACTGCCCAGGACCCTAAGAGTCAGGACAGAGACACAGGGTGTGGGAAGTGGCTCGGTGAGCCGGGGGAGCAAGGCAGAGCCCTGGTCCTCCCAGTGCCAGTCCCTGCCTTTCTATCTCCAGCCTCCTGTGCAGAGACTGAGGAGGGTGAGCAGCAGAGGGATTCAGGCCATGGTAGAGAAGTCTCTGGAGCTCTACTTCCTGAGCCACACAGATTAGGGGGAACAGCCCCTTTTCCCTGGCCCTTCTTAGAGGAGGGGACTCAATGCAAGTCTAACCTGTCCCCATGGTTGTTCCCTTCACATAAGATGCTGAGTCTGATTATACTTCTCGAGGACTGGGTGGCTTCTTGAGGCTGGGTAGGAGAGCATGGTCAGTGACTCTTCAGGCACCCTGGGAGGATGCAGCTGCTGGGCCCTATGAATACTAAATAGAGACAGGGAGACAGGTGTCTGGTGTCCCAGCCAAGTCCAGCCATGAACTGACTTTCCAGGCTGCACAGAAATCCATGGGTCTCTCTTCCTTCTTGATTCTCACTGGATCAGCACATAAGGCAGAGTGGTGGAGTTTGGGGAGAATAAATGAGCATGCTTGTGTGGTTCACTGGATTCAGTGGAAATGCAGAGGACTCCAGGGATCAGAAGGAGAAAAAAAAAAAGGAGAAGGAGGAAGTGCTAGCTGAGGCAAAATAGGAGAATCAGCCAACTCTGGGCTACTTCAGAACTAGGGAATCAGAGAGGCTCGTAAAAGAGAAAAAATAGGCTGGGCACAGCGGCTCATGCCTGTAATTCCAGGACTTTGGGAGGCTGAGGAGGGTGGATCACTTGAGCTCAGAAATTCAAGACCAGCCTGGGTAACATGGGGAAACCCCATGTCTACCAAAAATACAAGATATTAGCAGGGTGTGGTGGTGCGTGCCCATAGTCACAGCTACTTGGGATGCTGAGCTGAGAAGATTGCTTGAGTCAGGAGGTGAAGGTTGCAGTGAGTTGAGACCACAGCCTGGGCAACCAGGGTGAGACCCTGTCCCTACCCCCACCCCCACCCCACCCTACCCCCCCAAAAAAAGAGAGAAAATGTATGAATGTCCAATTCCAAGAAAAAAAATCTGGAAAAATACCAATAGGCTTCCTGCTATAAAGCTCTTGATAATTAACTCAGGATGATAGAGGGGAGAAGTGGTTGACAGGAAAAGGAGAGAGACCCAAGAAGGGAATTCAGGAATCAGAGATGTGGGAGGGGAGAGGGTAAGGATGGGCTACACTACAGAAAAGACTAGATGAGAAGCTAGTAAGAATGTTGGATGGGAGCCAGAGGGGAGGTCAGGTTAGTTGTTTGTTTGCTTTTGTTTTGTTTCTTAAAGAAAGGGGAGCCTCTCCCTGCTTTGCAGCTGTCCTCCCTGGTCGTCTTCCTGCATGGAGTGTGGCTCGTTCCATCTCAGCTTACCGCAAACTCCGCCTCCCGGATTCCAGTGATTCTCCTGGCTCAACCTCCCGAGTAGCTGGGATTACAGGCTGCGCCACCACGCCCGGCTAATTTTGCATTTTTAGTAGAGACGGGGCTTTTCCATGTTGGCCGGGCTGGTCTGGAACTCCCGACCTCAGGTGATCTGCCCGCCTTGGCCTCCTAAAGTGCTGGGATTACAGGCCTGAGTCACCACAGCCAGCCAAGTGTGGGGTTCTTCTGTCATCCAAACACATTAGTTCACTATGTCTGAGATATCTCTTAGGTTATTGTCTGCCAAGGTTTCTCCTTATTTTACACTATTCTTATGAATTTGTTATGGCTGTTTTTGTTATTAGAGGTAAGGTCTCACTTTGTCACCCAGGCTGGAGTGCAGTGGCATAATCATAGCTCATCGCAGCTTTGAACTCCTGGGGTGAAGCGACCCTCCTGCCTCAGCCTCCTAGGTATCTACGATGACAAGCATGCCACACTACGCCTGGCTAATTCATTTTTTATTATTTAAAAACATGTTTTGTAGAGAAAAGATCTTGTGACGTTACCCTGGCTGGTCTCAAACTCCTGGCCTCAAGTAATTCTTTTGCCTCAAACTCCCAAAGTGCTAGGATTACACACCTGAGCCTCTTCTCCTGGCTGGCCTTGTTATTGTTCAAACATATATGTGGATTTTGTGTGGTAGGAACTTTCTAGAAATGCAGAGACTGTGTCCTCACTCCAGAGCCACTGAATCAGAATCTGCATTTTGTAAAATCCCCAGAAGATGCATATGCACAACAGAATTTGGGGGGTACTGTTCTAACACATGCCTGGAGACACTGGTGTAGTTTTGGATATAAATTATTCCTCATACCTTAATCTGTTATGCTCCTTCTTACATGAATCGGAAACTCTTGTTTCTCTATTTACTGCATTGTGAAGTCAGGTGTAATGTACTCAAGGCTTTCCATTGAAAATTTCAGGCATTTTTTTTCTGACCTCACAAAATCCACAGAAGTTACCAGGAGTGTTTTAATAATAAGATAATATCATATCTTCGTTTGAGTAGCAAACAATAAGAATTATCTAAAAATGATAATATTTCATTGGTATTCAAATAAAAATAAAATTAGCAACTATTTAAATATTTTATCCCTTTTAAGAAATGGAACACTACTTACATTAACCTGAAATGACTAGATCATAAAGGGGTATAAAAGCAGATGAAAAAGCACAAGGCTTGATCACCATTGTGGAAATACTGAGAACAAAAATGAAAGAATGCATCCAAATAAAAAAAAATAGTCATATTGATTGCTTGGAATAAAGAACCTTTGCCGAGAACTCGGTGATTTTAAATACTTTCTGATTTTATGTAATAGGCATGTATTGCTTTGAACATAACTCAATAAATAAATTTTAGTAAGTTTAGAAAGTTTCTTCTTATTGCTCTTAGCTCAGAAAGCCCATCCTTTGAAGATGCTACTGAGATCCCTGTGTGGAGGAGGTGTGTTGTGTGGTGCTTTATGCAAATCTTTACCACATTCACCACCTTTAGCACCACCCAGGTTCTCAGCCCTGAGAGCAGCCACACTGTGAGGGGACTGCCCAGAGTGGCCGTGTGTTGCGGGAGGAAGCAGCTGCTCTAACATTTTACACGACCCAGTGAGCAACTGTGCAGGGTTCATTCAGTTTGAACTCCTTGAGCTTCTTATGATGCAGACGACCCAGACCGCCCCCTGGTGGCTTTCCTGGACTGAGCATGTATTGTCAAATAACTATTGATTTACCTTTTTGACATTGCCACTGTAAATTTCCTAGGCCAATTCACATCCATTACTTGTCTATTTTTTGCTCATCCCTATTTGTACTACTTTCTCTTCCTGTTGTTGAAATCCAGCCCCAGTGACTATAATTCGATTTTAGTGTTACATGGTGTTAATTTTTATCTGAATGTTTTGGATGACTAAAGGAATTGTTTTAATGACCCACTGGCTTTTTGAAACTATTTATGTTGAGTCTCATATTGGATAAACAGCTAGCTAAAGCGAGCATTTTCAAAATAATTTATTTTAGAGAATTTATTAAAAAGAAAATAACCAAATATTTAAGGTTGAAGTTTTATTGTCAATTCAGTGGAAATTCAAGTCGGAGTCAGCCATAAGGATGATCAACAAGGTCTACATAAGCAACCCCATCCCCAACTCACACCCCCAAAAAAACCTGCCTGGACACCAAGCTTCAGCGAGCTTTCCTGGTTGGCAATAATTCATGCACAGAATCACACATTGCTGCCAGGAGAATGCAGCATTGTCTATTACTTTACTGGGAGAGGACAACTGAATGCCTGTGCTTGGAATTCTCCTGAACTCTGCCCATGTACCTCCTTCCTTGAATTATTTTAATCTGCATTCTTTTGTTGTAAAAAATCATATCAACAAACGTCACAAGTTTCAGTGAGTGATGTGAGTCCTTCTTGGGAATCATAAGAAGTGAAGCGTTGTTGGGGGAGTCCCTAGCTTACAGTTAGCATCAGAATTGAGACTGCTGTTGGAAACTCTTAGATTTTGCAGGTTCTAATGTCACATTTTTTTTTAACTTCAAAACAGGTTGTATTTGGGAAGAGTTTCTCATTTTGTTAAAGCTGCAAGCAACCTTCTTTCCCAATTACACTTCTAGAGATCTAGTAGTTTCAGAGATCTCAGTATTCAAAGATATATTTCAAAATTAATAACAAAACCAAACCCACACCGAAAAGAAATCACTTTTAGAATGATTTGGAATGTACATTGATTTCTGGCATTCTCAGAAACAAGCTCACCAACTCCTTGGAAAACGGGTGCCATGGAGTCAGTGCCCACCGAAGAAAATGTCTTTAAATAAGTTAGTTACTTGGACAAGATTATTCACTCCTTAGAAAATACATCAATGTAACAAGTCCCAGCAGGCAGGGTATGCAGTACAGCACCAATTTCCCAGAGGGCTTAGTGGATCTTGGGATGAGCAGTTGTTGGTTTACGGCCCTCAGAAGAAGAGCAGTCACTGAAAGTGGAGAAAGAGTGTTGGCAGGCAGGAGCCTCTCACAGTCGTACCCAGACTTTTAACTTGCTCAAAGGAGAGGCTGTGTTCAGTAGCATCTTTGGGAGAACATTTGAGACAGTTAAAGGCAACAACAAGAAAAGCCCTACAGTATTACTCCCCAGAAAGTCCATATCTGAAAAGAAAGAGGGACCCATTTGAGATTTCCTGTGGAGGACTGTGTCTCCCATCCTTTTCTGTCTCCAGCAGGTACAAGACATCAGCCAGAGTGTGCTCTACCACAGCATCCCATCCCATGTCACTCAGGGCAGTAAGTGACATCATTTTTAGGAAATTAAAGCACAGTCCAAAGTTAATGAAAACCACCCAGTTCTTGTCCAGTGAGATGGCTGGAAAGTAAACATCCTTGAAAGTATTTTTGTAAGCCACACCTTGATTGACACCTTTTTATAAAATATTAGCTCACTATGAGGAGTCCGTTTTAGGTTCTTCTCTGCTTTAGCGACAAAGTCTTTTTCCTCAAAATGCAAATAATTCTTGAATTTTATCAAAGCTTTATGCTCATAAGTATTAGGTATGACTTGACTGTTTCTGTGTCTTCAGAAAGAGTAGCACAAAATTTCAGGATGTCTCCCTTCCATAGTTTGAAATGTAGTGTTTGCCAAGGGACTGGTGAAACTTGGATCTTTTTTGCTCTGCAAAGAATAACTAAATTTACTCATTGTTTAAACAATGTTATTTAGCCAAGTAATTATTCCAAGTGTCTGAATGGTCATCATGCAATCCCCGTATTTATCAATAAATGGTATAATATCCTTATCTTTAGAGAACGTTACCTTTAAACATTCAGCCTGTGTTTGGGACTAACATGTCCTGTTGGACAAAGCAGTAAAGCACGTTTCGTTCATGTTTGCTTGCTACAGGAGGAAATAGACATTACTGCTATGATAACGTACATTGCAATGAAAACTGTAGTTGGTCATGAGGTAAACGATGAGGCATCTATGCAAGACTTATCAACTGTGAACCATTTTGTACAGAAGCAGATGCCCCTCTCCAGCTGGAGGGGCTGCTACCTCTGCCACCAGCTTCATCTCCCCTTCTTTGGCCACTGTTGCATTTGCGGCTGCTCCTGGGCTGGGTTGGGCACCCACCGCTAACATCATGGCCACCTCTAGACTTTCTCATATTATTCTGAGTCACCTGTAATGAGGTACGTCTGACTCTCTTAACTTGTTAGGATGCTGCAGGGCTGGAATAAAAGGAAGGGTGTCCTGGATGCTGTGGGGCTGGCATAAAAGGAAGAGTGTCCTGGATACTCATGCACACTCTCCTAGTCCTGTAGGTTTCCACTGTTCTTGGAGGTAGAGAAACTGCACCAAACATAAATCTTCCTCTTTTTGGCTGTAGTAAAATATTCATACACAAAATACATTATTTCAACAATTTTCAAATGTATACTTCAGTGACATTAAGTAAATTAACACTGTTGTACAACCACAGTACTGCCACTCATCTCCACAAATTTTTTATTTTCCCAAACCAAAACTTCATACCTGGGAAACATCGTTTTACTTCTTGTCACTGTGGAGTTAACTATTCTAGGTACCTCATATAAGGGCTGGCAAACAATTTTTGTCCTTTTGAAGTCAGCTTATTTCTGACGGCATGATGTCTTAAAGGTTCATCCATGCCATCGCATGGGTCAGACTTTCTTTTTAAGGCTGAATAATATTCCCTTGTGTGTGTATAATATATCTTGTTGATTCATTAGTTGACACTTGGGCTGCCTCCACCTTTTAGCTATTGTGAACAATGCTGCTATGAACGAGGATGTACAATTTTCTCTTTGAGATCTTGCTTTCAATTTTTTCAGGCACATTCCCAGAAGTGAAAATTCTGATAAAATGGTAATTCTATGTTTGATTTTATGAGGAACAGCCATAAGGCATCCACAGTGGAAGCATCATTCTGCAGTCTCTCCAGCAAATCGTAACAGTTGCAATTTCTAAACATCTTTGCTAGAACTTTTAATTTTCTGTTATTTGGTTAATGCCATCCTAATGGGTATAGAGTTGTATATTATTGTGATTTGATTTGCAGTGTACTAATAATTGGTGATGCTGTACATCTTTTCATGTACTTATTGGACATTCGTAGATCTTTTTTTGTAGTAATATCTACTCAAGTCCTTTGTCCTTGTTTTTTTCGGGTTATTCCTATTTTTGTTGTTACTGTTGAGTTGTAGAAGTTCTTTCTATAGCTTGGATGCCTTATCAGATATAAAGTTTGTAACAATCTTTCCCATTCTATTATCTGCATTTTCACTCTGTTGGTAGTGTCCTTTGCTGCACATAAGTTTTACAGTTTGATGAAATGCAATTTATCTATATTCTTCTTTTTCTATGTTTTCCCTGTCTTTTTTGTGCCATATCCAAGAAATCATTTCCAAACCCTACGTTGTGGACCTACTTCCCAATGTTTTCTTTTAAGATTCAGTTGTGGCTCTCCCATTTGTGTCTTTGATTCACTTCCAGATTGCATGTGGATATCCAGTTTTCTCAACAGCATTTGTTAAAAAGACTGTTCTTTCCCTCACGAATGGTCTTGGCAAGCTTGTTGAAAATCATTTGACCATATAACTGAGAGTTTTCTCCAAGGCACTCAATTCTATTCTATTTGTCTGTATGTCTGTCTATATGTACCACTCTGTTTTGATTAGTGTATCTTTTTAGTATGCTTTGGAATCAGGAAGTGTCAGGATTCCAACAACGTTCTTCTTTTACAAGATTATTTTGGCTATTTTGGGTATCTGGATTTTAGAATTATATCCATTCTTGTACCAAGTAGTATTGGAATTTTGATAAAGATTGTGATGACTCTATAGTATATTTTATTTTGGTTTCTACTGGTATCTTAACAATATTGAGTTTTCCAATACATAATCAAAAACGTCTTTCCATTTATTTGTGTATTCTTCAATTTCTTTTAGCAATGTTTTATTGTTTTCAATGTGCAAGTGTTTTACCTTCTTAAGTTTATTCTTAAGTATTTTACATTTATTTATTTATTTGGGACAGAGTCTCACTGTGTCACCTAGGTTAGAGTGCAGTGGCACCATCTCCTCTCACTGCAAACTCTGTCTCCTGGGTTCAAGTGATTATTGTGCCTCAGCCTCATGAGTAGCTGCAATCACTGAGTGTGCCACCCACCCAGCTAATTTTTTTTAATCTTTTTTTAGTAGAGACAGGGTTTCACCATATTGGCCAGGCTGGTCTCTAACAACTCCTGACCTCAGATGATCCCCCGTCTCAGCCTCCCAAAGTGCTGGGATTATGGGCACCAGATACCGTGCCAGCCGCATTTTACTCATTCTAATGATGAAATTTGAATTGTTTTCTTTTTTTTTAATGTATAAGAATGTTCATAGTAGTTTTATTCCTAATAGCCAAAAAAATAAACTGGAAATAATCCACATGTTCCTCAACTGGCGAATGGTTAAACAAGCTTGATACAACCGTACCATGAAACATTACTCAGCAATAAAAAGAAACAAACTATATAATTGATACAACGCAACTCAGATATATCTCAAGGAAATTGTGCTCCGTGAAAAAAGCCAATGCTGAAAGGCTGCATAATATATGATTCCATTGTTATAATATTCTTTTTTTTTTTTCTGTAAGTTATTGGGAAGATGGTGTTTGGTTACATGAGTAAGTTCTTTAGGGGTGATTTGTGAGATCCCGGTGCAGCCATCACCTGAGCAGTATACACTGTACCATGTTTGTTGTCTTTTACTCCTCGCCCCTCTCCCACTCTTCCCCCCAAGTTATTTCTCATTTTGGTAGGCTCTGTCAGAGGAGAGGTCTAGGGCTAAAGGCTGGTAAGATTTTTTTTGTTCCATGGGGTGTTCCCTTGATGTAGCACTCTCCCCCTTTTCCTGTGGATGTCTTCCTGCGAGCTGAACTGCAGTGATTTTTGTTTCTCTTCTGGGTCTAGCCACCCAGCAAGTCTACCCGGCTCTGGGCTGGTACTGGGGGTTTCTGCACAGAGTCCTGTGATGTGAACTATCCATGGGCCTCTCAGCCATGGATACTAGTGCCATGGATACTAGAGCCAGGAGGCCTCTCACCCGATTCGAATTGTTGCAAAGTTCAGCTAGGGAAGTCCTTCTTCCCGTGGAGTTTTACCCGCTGCTTGTCTGTCCTCCTTCCTGATGTATTCCTGTGGTGCCAGAAAGGAATGGGTTGCTTGGGGATTCAGCAAGTTCCCAGGGCCTCCCCGCTACCTCCTACACCTGTGTATTTCACTGAGCTTGGCTGTCTAACTTAACTCCGTTCCAGGTAAAGTTGAGAACTTCTCCTGCTAACAGACTTTCACATTCTTCAGTAGGGGTGTGTGTTTGGGAGAGGAGGGTCTCCCTTTCCCACTTCCGCAGTTGAGGCACTCACAGTATTTGCGGTGTCTCCCGGGTCCTGCGGGTGCAGTCCCCTTCTTTCAGAGGGTCTGTGGGTCCTCTTGAATTGTTTTCTTAATTTCATTTTGGGTGGTGTCCTGTTTGGTTAAGTATAGAAATACAAGTGACTTTCCTTCCTTTTTATTTTTTTATTTTTGGTAGAGACAGGTTCTTGCTTTGTTGCTCATGCTGTTCTTGAACTGTTGACCCCAAGCAATTCTCCCACCTCAGCCTCCCTAGTGTTGGGATTATAGGCGTCAGCCACCATGCCTAGCCATGAGATGTTCTTAAGTGGTGATTTTGTATCCTGAAACATTACCAAATTCACTTAATCATTCTTTCAGAATTATTTTCTGGGTCTTTTAATGGCGTTCTACATATGACATTATGTCATCTGAAAACAGAGATAATTTTATACTTTTATTTCTAGTTTTTATTCTGTTTATTTCTTTTTCTAGGCTAAATGCTCTGCCTAGGTCTTCCAATAATATTTGGAATTGAAGATGTGAAAGTATGCCTCCTTGGTTTGTTCCTGATATTACAGAAAATGTCTCTGGTTGTTCAGATTTTATGTGATGTAAACTATGGGAGTTTCACAGATGGTCTTTACTATGTTGAGGTAGTTTCCTTCTATTTATAGTTCATCGAGTGTTTTTGTCATGAAAGGGTGTGGAATTTTGTGAAATAATTTTCTGTAGCCAAGGTCTTACTGCTTTGCATCTGGATGAGCCACTCTGCTCTACATCAACCCATACCATGTCTATTACATGCCTGGCTTTCCAGAGGAAGGGATACCTTGTGTTCTCCAGGGGCCACTCCACCAGACCCACAACAGTAGTAACCTGCATGAGGTGAGAGAGGAACAGAAGAGGCCCTCTGTAGATGTTGACTGGGATGGAGGTATCCCTGCCACCCTGGACTCAGACATGGGCAACGTGTTTAGGGACAATAGGGGAATGGACTAGAACCAGAAGCAATAGAATGAGGGGACTGGCTCAGTGTCCTGTGGGTAATTTGGGGTGACAGTTACAGAGAGTCACCCCATTTGTCCCAGAGTTGGTGGCTGTGTTGATGAATCTCTCAAAAAAGTCAGTTCCTTTCTCACTCTGACCACTACCTGCTGATAGCCCCTCTTCCTTTAGATTGATCAGGCATTCATCAGGCATTGATCCTTTATGCCCCACAAATGTAGGAGACCAGCTGGACTTCTATGAATGGCCCTGAAGTTTCTATTAATGGGTTTTAGATGAAGGAAAGGGGGTGAAATGGTTCTTTCATGCAAATCAGCCCCCTCCTCATAACTCCCAAGCCCTTAGTAGAACCTCACCCCAGAGAGTCATCTGAATACATTTCCCAGGTGGGATGGAGAAGGCCAGTCTGGCTACAGCCAGCTTTCCTGTGAGGACACAGCCACTGATCCAGTGGGCAGATGAAACAAGGTCACAGCAGGGGTGGACTTCCCAGCTGTCATCATCTGCAGACTGCTCCAGGACAAGCCCAAAGCACTCAGCGCTACCTCAGTCCCAGACCCATTGAGTCCTTCAGTTTCTCCATGCCTTTGTCTATTTCCTTTTTCACCAAAGATAGAACGTGAAGGCCCTTGTTAAGATGCATCTGCACTTATTGTTCTGAACACAATTCCTGTACCATGACATGCCTGTCTGGTCCACTCTGCTAATTTTAGTAAAGTCCTGGGATCTTGGCCTCACTGAAGGAGATTCCCTGACAAGCATCAGAGCCCTGAAGTTTCATCTGTCATGGGACAGAAGGAGAGCCCCTCTGAGCTCTTCTAATCTTACATGTTATTTATGCTCTCCTGGCTGAAGCCATTCTGTGTAGGGACTAAAGAGCCCTTTTGCATCTGGTTGTGACAGGACATGCGGTCCCAGGTCCAGAACTCAGGCTGCAGCAATTTCTGGGGAGGCCCTGAGTCTGCAAACTTAAAGGATAATAGAAAGAATTAGGGAAGTGAGTGGGGATCATTGACTGGGGATCATATCACATGTATTTAGTGCCAACTGACATGCTCACTTGAGGGTAGCTCTCTTAGAGAAGCTCTGTCTTTGACGTTAAGCACCTAGACCTGGCATCAGGAAGGGCAGGCCTGCCACAGCTCTGCCTCTTTCAAGCTGCGAACCCTGTGTGGAGTTTCCCGATAAAATGCAGGGCACCCAGTTGTTTGTATTACAATTGAACAATACTGTGTGGGTGATACACATACAGATTCTTTATCATTGTTTTTACTGAATTCAAATTTAACTGACCTCCAGTGTTTATATCACATTGGTGCACAAGTCCTTGTGGGTTTTGCCATTACTTTTATTTGTAAAACCTGCAATTACTTGTGCACCAATTTAATATTTGATAAATTTTAGAACCTTACCTCCAGGCCACAAAGCATTACCTCTTCAATCACGGTCTACTGCCTGAAAAGCAATAATAAAGCTATTGTCAGGATTAAATGAGGTCACATCCTCAGGAATTAAAAAGCTGTTGATTGATAGTAAGATTGCAATTGTTCTAAATCTTAATGCAACCTGTCAAAAGCTCTGGGATACAGCAAAAGTGGTGCTTAAAGGACAGTTTATAGCATTAAATACCTACATCAAAAAGTCTGAAAGAGCACAAGTAGAAAATCTAAGGTCACCCCTCACAGAACTGGAGAAACCACAACAATCCAAACCCAAACCCAGGAAAAGAAAAGAAATAATGAAGATCAGAGCAGAACTAAATGAAGTCAAAACAAAAAAAAATACAAAAGATAAATGAAACAAAAAGCTGGTTCTTTGAAAAGATAAATAAAATTGGCAGACCATTAACGAGATTAACCAAGAAAAGAAGAGAGAAGACCCACATAAGCTCAATTAGAAATGAAACGGGAGATATTACTATTGATACCACAGAAATACAAAAGATCATTAAAGGCTACTATGAACTCTTTTATGTACGTAAACTAGAAATCTTAAAGGAGATGGATGAACTCCTGGAAATATACAACACTACTAGGTTAAACCAGGAAGATGTAGAAACTCTGAACAGACCAATAACAAGCAGCTAGATTGAAATGGTAATAAAAAAAATTGCAAACAACAAAAAATCCAGGACCAGATGGATTCACAGCTGAATTCTATTAGATATTCAAAGAAGAACTGGTACCAATCCTTCTGACTCTATTCAACAGCATAGAGAAAATGGGAATCCTTTCTAAATCATTCTGTGAAGACAGTATCATTCTGATACCAAAACCAGGGAGGACATAACAAAAATAAACTACAGACCAATATTTCTGATGAATCTAGATGCAAAAATCCTCAACAAAATACTAGCTACCCAAATCCAACAGCTGTCTTAAAGATAATCTACCATGATCAAATTGCTTTTATACCAGAAATGCAGAGATGGTTTAACATCCACAAGTTGATAAATGTGATACACCATATAAACAGAATTAAAACACAAAATCACATGATTATCTTAATAGATGCAGAAAAGGCATCTAACGAAATCCAGCATCCTTTATGATTCAAACTTGGCAAAATCAGCATAGAAGGGACCATACCTTATGGCAACAAAAGCCATCTATGGCAAACCCACAGCCAACATTATACTCAATGGGGAAAAGTTAAAAGCATTTCCCCTGAGAAATGGAACAACAAAAGGATGCCCACTTTCACCACTTCTATTCAACGTAGTACTGGAAGTCTTAGCCAGAGCAATCAGACAAGAGAAAGAAATCAGGGATATCCAAACTGATAAGGAGGAAGTCAAACTGTCACTGTTTGCTGATAATATGATTGTATACATAGAAAACCCTGAAGACTCACCCCAAATGCTTCTAGCACTAGTGAAAGTATTCAGCAAGTTTTAGGATACAAAATTAAGGGACACAAATCAGTAGCAGTGCTATACAACGACAGCAACCAAGCTGAGAATCAAAGCAAGAACTCAACCCCTTTTACAATAGCTGCCAAAAAACTAAAATACTTAGAAATATACCTAACCAAGAAAGTGAAAGACCTCTACCAGGAAAGCTGCAAAACACTGCTGAAAGAAGTCACAGATGACACAAATGGAAATACATTTTATGCTCATGGATGTATAGAATGAATATTGTGAAAATGACCATACTGCCAAAACAATCTACAAGTTTAATACAATTTCCATCAAAATACCACCATCATTCTTCACAGAACTTCATAGAACTAAAATTCATATGAAACCAAGAAAGAGCCCCGGTAGCCAAAACAAGTCTACACAAAAATAACAAATCTGGAAGCATCACATTACCTGACTTCAAACTATGCTATAAAGCCATAATGACCAAAACAGCATGGTACTGGTATAAAAATAGGCACATAGACCGATGTAACAGAATAGAGAATGCAGAAATGAAGCAAAATACTTAGAGTTAACTGATCTTTGACAAAGCAAACAAAAACATAAAGTGGGAAAAGGAGACGCTATTCAACAAATGGTGCTGAGATAATAGGCAAGTCACACGTAGAAGAATGAAAATGGATCTTCATCTCTCATCTTATACAAAACTAACACAAGATTGGTCAAAGACTTAAATCTAAGACATGAAACCTTAGAAATTCTAGAAGAAATTGGCTTAAGCAAAGACTTTATAACCAAGAATCCAAAATGAAATGCATTAAAAACGAAGATAAATAGATGGGACTGAATTAAATGAAATAGCCTCTGCACAGCAAAATAAACAGTCAGCAGAGTTAACTGACAACCCACAGAGTGAAAGAAAATCTTCCCAATCTATACATCTAATAAAGTATTAATATCCAGAATCTACAAAGAACTCAAACTAATCAGCAAGAAAAAAACAAACAATCTCATCAAAAAGTGGGCTAAAGACATGAATAGACAATTCTCAAAAGAAGATATACAAATGGCTAACAAGCATATGGCAAAATGCTCAAGATCACTAACGATTAGAGAAATGAAAATCAAAGTCACAATGCAATACCACCTTACTCCCTCAAGAATGGGCATAATAAAAAAATTAAAATAATTGATGCTGGCATGGATGTGGTGAAAAGGGAACCCTTTTACACTGTTGGTGGGAATGTAAACTAGTACAACCACCATGGAAAAGAGTGTGGAGATTCATTAAAGAACTGGATCTACCATTTGTTCCAGCAATCTCACTACTAGGTATCTACCAAGAGGAAAAGAAGTCATTACATGAAAAAATTACTTGAACACTCATGTTTATAGCAGCACAATTTGCAATTGCAAAAACGTAGAACCAACCCAAATGCCCATCAATCAATGAGTGGATGAAGCAAATGTGGTATATATATATATATATATATATGTAGACTGCTACTCAGCCTTAAAAAGGAATGAAATAATGGCATTAACAGAAACCCGGATGGAATGGAGACTATCATTATAAGTGAATTCACTCAGGAATAAAAGGGCAAACATCATATGTTTTCACTCATAAATGGGAGCTAAGCTATGAGGACACAAAGGCATAAGAATGATACAACGGACTTTGGGGACTCAGGAGAAAGGGTGGGATGGGGTGAGGGATAAAAGACTACACATTGGGTACAGTGTTCCCTGCTTGGGTGATGAGTGCACCAAAATCCCAGAAATCACCACTAACAAACTTATTTATGTAACAAAACAACATCTGTTTCCCAAAAACCTATTGAAATAAAAAAATTTTAAAAAACACTAAAAACCTTAAAAGCCAACATAAAATAATAAATAGAAAAACTTTAAAAAGATAAGAAATTCTCCCATTATAGAAAGAATTAGAGGGAAGAGATGAAGAAGCAAGAATCCTGAGAAGCCCTCACTGACTCCTGTCACCTTAGATGAACATCACCCGTAGAGTTTGATTTGATGGACAATGAATTCAAACTTTAAAATAAATAAGTAAATAAATAGAATCAGAAGAGAATGTCCTAGACCCTCAAAGGTTGTAATGAGCCCTCTGTAGAATGGGATGCAATTCAGCAACAGCAGGGAGAATCTGAAAAGAAGTGTGCAGAGTGAAAGAAGCTCGAACAAATGGGAAGATAGTGTTTGATAACACTAGTAAGTTTCAGAAAATGGAAACCATACAGTAGTGGCAAAGGCAGATTCCTGACTGCCCAGGAGGGCATTCGGGGAGTGAAGGAGATGACAAAGCATCATGAAGGGCTGCTGGGGTTAGTCAGAGGTTGCATAGCTCAGTGGTGGTGATATTTTCAAAGATCCAGAAAAATGCCAAAATGGGCCGAATTTAATGCTATAAATTCAGCTGGTTTATTAGGTGTGCATTTTTCCTTCATGAAAGGAGTTTTGTTAAAAAAAAAAAAAAGAATAGGCCTGGGAGAAAAGAAACACAGGGACTCACATTGAGGAGCAGGGAGAGGAAGACACCACTCCGGAAACTCCTGGAATTGGGGAAAGGAGAATAATGAATACATGGGTTCCCTATCAGAGGTGGGTCTGAGGTGACACAACTGGATCTGCCACCTGAGTCCAGAACTTCAGTGTAGAGACTTTGTGTCCCAAGTTAAGGGAGAGGGATATTCTGCTTCCTGGATTCCCTGTTCCTGACTCTGAGGACAGAAGGGGAGGAGGAGCCTCCACTCCCAGGCAGGGCCCTGGATGCCCCTGGGACCATGAGGGAAGCAGCAGCCGCAGAAGCCACAGGCCAGGCCTGAGCAGCAGCTGCCGGGGCTCACCCTCCTGGCAGAGGAGGAAGTGGGTTCTTGTCTCAGTTCCCCCCGGGCCTGGAGCACTGTGGAACCACTCAGGCTGCTGTCATAGGACTGGCAGTAATAATCAGCCTCATCCTCAGCCTGGAGCCCAGTGATGGCCAGGGAGGCTGAGGTGCCAGACTTGGAGCCAGAGAATCGGTCAGGGACCCCTGAGGGCCGATTGCTGTTACCATAGATGAGGAGTTTGGGGGCTGTTCCTGGAAGCTGCTGGTACCAGTGTACATCATAACCTGCCCCGATGTTGGAGCTGCTCCCAGTGCAGGAGATGGTGACCCTCTGCCCTGGGGCCCCAGACACTGAGGGCGGCTGCGTCAGCACAGACTGGGCCCAGGACCCTGGAAGTGGGAGAGACACAGGCATCATTATTCGGCTTCTAGAGACAACAGGAGAAAGCAAGAATCCATAGGCTTCCCAGGGCCCCTCCCCTGGACCTGTATCCAGTCACCTGTGCAGTGAGCGAGGAGAGTGAGGAGGAGAGGAGACCAGGCCATGCTGGAGATTGTCCTGAGTGCTGCCTCTTGTGCCCACAGCTGAAGCAGAGCCTCCCCAAATCTCTCCCTGCCCCTCTTCATACTCTGAGAGTGGGAGGGTCCATCCATGCAAATCAGACCCCCAGCTTTCTAATCCCACCCTGGGCCCTGGGTCAGGTCCCTATGCCTGAGGATGTCAGGGGGTGGCAGGGGTGGGGCTGTGTGGTCCCACGGGTGTAAAGGACGCAGCTGTGAGCCCTGAGCAGAGGACACTAGGCAGGACAGGTGGCTGGTTCTGCTCTGATCAACCTCAGTCTTCTCAGGAATGGTCCCCAAGTGCCCTCTAGTGTCCAGACCGAGACAAACCATGGTATGACAAGGTGACCAGAGCCTCTAGAGACCCCACTGCCTCCGCACTGTTCTGTCCACTGCCCCCTGTCAGGGCCAGGCCAGGTGGTGCCTGTGTCTTCTCCCTGTGACCTCAGTCCTCCCACTTTACTGGGCTCCTCGGGAGTGAATCTGTCCGTGGCGCTCTCACTGTTTATTGTAGAGGACTCAGGTGGTGACTACACAATGTCCTCATAGGTCACAATCAAACCCAGAGCAGGGACCGACTTTCATGGACTCACGTTCCCATTTGTGGGGACACCGGGTCCTCTCATGTGGCTCCTCCCTGGTGGCCAGGGCTCTCCTTCCTCTGTGGATCCTGCAGCGCTGAATAGAAGGGAAGCTCTTCCCTCTAGGAGGCCCAGGGCACATTCCCAGAGGGTTATTCTGGTCAATCTTCATTCTCTACTTCCCCTGAATTGCAGTCATAGTCATCTGGATCTTGTGACCGGGCTGAGCTGTGTCTCACATACAGGACAAGGCTGCTCATGGCCCTCTCCCTGCCCAGGAATGCTCTTCCTGGTGGATGCCCCATCAGCTCTTAGGGTGAGGGCAGAGCGAGGAGCAGGTCCACAGCTACCTCTCCCAGTTCAGCCCCATCCTGGGTCCAGTATAATGTGTCCCATGTGATAAGAGGTAGGTCTCTGTCAAGTAGTTGCTGAGCACGTATCTTTTGCTGGGCATAGAGCTCAGCTCTGGAAATGCCATAATCCCTACCTAATGCCATAATCCCTACCTAGACAGCCTAATCCCTACCTTTTGCAGCTAACCCTGATGAAAACACAGGCATAGGAAGGGCACAGGAGTCCACTCTTCCACCCCCTTAATCCCTGGGGCAGAGACCAGAGAAGTCCCTGCTGCACTCCAGGGTCTGAGAAGAGACTTCGACTTGGTGGCATCACAGGGGAAGAAGGAAGAAGGGACTACAGGAGAACCAAGGGCATATGGGCATGACCTGAAGATTCCTGGTGTTCAGGTGAAGATGTAAGGAAGTCCACGAAGTAGATACAGATGAATAAGATTAGATAAATTACAGGATCTAGGAGAAGTGGACTGCCGGGAAGGAGAGATTGGATTGAGAAAGACACCCTGGCAGGGCAAGTCCTCAGAAATCCAAGAAGATGTACTTTTGTTCCCCAAGTCCAGGAGCTTGTTGACTGGTTGGGCCTGATCTGCTGGGGCTACTGGAGAGGAAGGCAGGGAGGAGCCACGTGTCAGCAGGAGAGGTGAGGAGAGGGGGAGAACATGAGCAGAAGAAGAGGAGATGCCACTTTAGGACAGCCTGGATGGGAGGTGTGCGATGGGAATGTCCACATGTACAGATATATTTCTAGATATTTCATATAAATGGGATCATGTTAATTTTTAGATTGTTGTGAGAGAAGAAGACAAATTCAAACTATCTTGCTATTATTCTAAAAGGCGGTGTATCTTCAGCAAAGAAAATTTGCTTCACAGGTGCTATCCTGGTGGACTGTAAGCACTGGGTTTTACAAAGGCTTTTTTACATTTCTTTTACCATCATACTGCTTTTTTTTCCAGAAATATATATACCAATTAAAATTGATGACATAAGTTAAGATTACATTTTTGTGAAAGTTATGCACTTATCTTTTTGAAACGTATACTCTGAACCTTTCAGAGGTTATTCATTGAGAAGACCAAGAACATTCACTACCTAATGTATTCATGCTGTTGTTTCTGAGGAGTAAACTCTTGAAGCTCTGGAATTAATTTTCTTAGATCTTGGAGTAATTCCTAAGGGGTAATGAAACTTTTCTTTGCTAACCCTGTATTTATCTAAGGAACCCTCTCATTTCTTTTTTTTTTTTGTGAAAATGGCCTGTAGATACAGGGTTGGCATCATTAGCTCCTGAGTGGAAAATGGACCATGACAAGGAATGAGAGCAGAAGAGTGAGTATAGAATTTTGGTAATCAAATAGCTCTAGACCTGAGGAAATAACATGAAATTATTTGGTAGAGGTGGCACTTTCTAGAGGGACACAGAGAAGGAGAATCTAAGGTTTGAGAAATCTAGGAGAGTTCAGTTAGGCTTTAATCATCGGCTTTGTGTCCTGAAGGGGCAGGGTCACAGCTGAATCAAAGCCAGGTTGCTGCTGATCCAAGACCCTGTGACCAGGACTGAGGTAAGACTCTCAGCAGTGACACGGCTGACCTGGCGGAGCAGTCGCCTTGAGATGAGAGCAGAAGGAGGCTCCCTACACAGTGCATGGACAGAAAGGGAGGTGCAGGTGCTGTCCCCTGAGTCTGGTCCTTACTTGAAAGAGGGGCAGATGGAGGACAGGTGCCGAGGTGATGGTGATCAGTGGCTTCTAGTGTGGCTTCTTGAACTTCTTTCCCTTTTTTTCTCCTCTGAGCTTAGGAGGCCAACATGAGGGTGTTTATCTGCTTCCTGTCTCTCTGGAGGCTACCTGATTCTCCTATCAATGCCTTCTTGATGAGCATGGATGTGTCTTGGCCCAGAATTGATGTGCAAAAAGAATATCAGAAAGGCCAGAGAGCCCACGATGGAGATTTGTGGGTCAGAGTCTCTCTTGCCTGTGTCCCAGCCCAGCTGTCAGTTTTCGCAAGACAACACCCATCACGAACTGAAGTTGAGGGTGGAGGGTAGAGTGATTCACACACTGGGGCTACTTAGGCAGAGCTCCTGGTCTTTTTCCTCTTCCTGTCATGTCTAGACCCCAGATCTCCCAGCCATGAGTTCAGCATATAAGTGTCCCCAGCTGCAATGTTTGGGACAGGCAGTGTGTGGCCCAAACCCATAAGATATGCTCCCTGGTCCCCATGATGCTGTCATGGGAGATGGCATGAACGATTTCGTCTGGTTGTCCTGAAGGCTGAGATTCCTCACCAGTGGGTCAGGGAGGGCAGATCTTTCTCATTCTGGAACTTTTTTTTTAGTGAGGATGTCATATGTAAAACTGGAGAGTCATTTTGTTTCCAAATAGGAATTCAGCCAGGGGACAGGAGAGGTTATGGAGAACAAACATCTTATATATCTCAGAGATAAGTTTTCCTCTCCCCGTTGCCATGTGGAGAGGAAAAAGTCCTGTGACACCTTTGAACAAGTCTGGGGAGCTGTTGTCTAAGTTTTCATTGTGACAATGAGCTCGAGCCTTCCTGTAGCCCCCTTGCACTTGAAGGACCCCCCAGCAGTGTGATCACTGTGCCCCACTCATGTCCTAAGGCCAGCCTTGAGCATCTCCCCTCACCCAGGCTTCAGTACCTCCTCCCCAGACACTGGTGCTGAATCTCACCACTCACTCCCGGTGACTAGAGCTGGTCCCATGGCCTTCACACTGCCTACCTCCTTGTCCATCTTCTCTGAAGCATCTGGAGTTTTCCTCACAAACTTACCTCAGATTCTGTGTCCTCTTTGTCCAACCCTCTAATGGCTCCTCTACCCTCCCCCACACAAGCTCTCCTCTCCTCACTGTGCGATGCCACCTTATCACATCAATATTCTAACTTGATTCTCTTTTCCACAAGTCGGTGTCAGCTAGGATATTCCAGGCTTATCAATCAGCCTTTATCCATTTTGGTATCAGTGCTGGGCTCTGCTACGAGAGCATAAGTCTTAGATGTCAGAGTCTGGGAGCTTCAGTACAATCAAATTCCCATGAAAGCCCCCAGTTCTATTGGCCTGAGAGGGAGGCTCAGCCTCCCCTTAATGCCTGAGTGGGCAATAATCCTCTACGAATTCTTATCTGAGGAAAGGAACCTCTTCAGACTTTTTTTTTTATCCTATTCTTACTGAAACTGGAACTCAAGAAGAAATGAGTAGATGGCTCAGGAGATCTGGTCCACCATCTGAGCCTCAGTTTATGCCACCCCTCCTCACTTTAGTAAGAGGGTCCTCACTATTTTCTGGTCCCAGACACCTCCACCACCTCCCTCCACCATCTGGGGGGACTGGCTGGCTCCACTGCCTGGTATAATGCCTGGACCTTCCCTTGCCGTCTGTGGCTGCCTCCTCTTTATTTCTGTGGAAGGAGGAAGCCAAGGGGAGGCTGGTTGAGAGGAGAGAGGGGAGCCTTGGGGAGGCTTCTGATTTCTAACTCTTTCTTCTCCTCATTGTTTCACTGAGAGGTGATGAGCAGTTTGCAAGGGGTGGGGTTGGTGCCCTCTAACCCAGTCCTGGGCACATAGAAATAAATGTTTCTACAGATTCAGAGACAGCCCTTACAGAGTTTGGAAACAATGCCTGGGATGGAGGCCCTGGGCTGAGCAAGGTCCTCAAGTAGCCCTGAGCCCTCACCTGGCCACAGCTACAGTGAGGAGAGTGATGGGAGGAGGGTGACGGAAGGAGTCCAGGTCTTCGGGAGCACCTCTGCTCCCTCAGGCCTCTAGTGAAGCTCAATGGCCCACACTTCCTCACTCCGTCCCCACACCATGGGCAGGCACAGGAAGGACTGTGAAGACACAGTTGGACCTGCCACCTCAGCCCACGATTTCAGTGCAGAGACCCTGTGTCCCAAGCTGAGGAGCAGGATATTCTGTCTCCTGGGGTCCCTGTTCCTGACTCTGAGGACAAAAGTGGTGGAGCCTCCACTCCTAGGCAAGGCCCTGGCTGCCCCGAGGCCCATGGGGGAAGCTACAGCAGCAGAAGCTACAGGTCAGGTGTGAGCAGCAGCTGCAGGCACTCACCCTCCTGGCGGAGGAGGAAGGGGGTTCTTGTCTCAGTTCCCCATTGGCCTGGAGCACTGTGCAAGCTCTCGGGCTGGTATCCCATGCTAAGCAGTAATAATCGGCCTCGTCCTCAGGCCAGAGGCCAGTGATGCCCAGGGTGGCTGAGGTGCCAGACTTGGAGCCAGAGAATCGGTCAGGAATCCCTGAGGGTCGCTTATTATTTTCATAGATGAGGAGTTTGGGGGCTGTTCCTGGGAGCTGCTGGTACCAGGATACCGCATAATTCCCCATGTCGGAGCTGCTTCCAGAGCAGGAGATGGTGACCTTCTGTCCTGGGGCCGCAGACACTGAAGGCGGCTGCGTCAACACAGACTGGGCCCAGGACCGTGGAAGCAGGAGAGACACAGACACAGTGATTCTTGGTCTAGAGAGAGAAGGAGAAAGCAGGGCCTCATGGGCTTCCTGGACCCCTCCCCTGACCCTGTGTCTGGGCACCTGTGCAGTGAATGAGAAGGGTGAGGAGGAGAGGGGAGCAGGTCATGATGAAGATTGTCCCGAGTCCTGCCTTCTGTGCTCACAGCTGAAGCAGAGCTTCCCCAAGTCTCTCCCTGCCCCTCTTTATACTCTGAGAGAAGGAGGGTCCAACCATGCAAATCAGACCCTCCAGCTTTCTGATCCCACCTTGGGCCCTGGGTCAGGCTCCTCTGCCTGAGGATGTCAGAGAGTGCCAGGGGTGGGGCTATGTGGTCCCAGGGGGTGCAGAGTTGACATCTGTAAGCCCTAAGCATAGGGCACCAAGCAGGACAGGTGGCGCTGGTCCTGCTCTCATCACACCCAGTCTTCTCAGTAATGGTACGCAGGCATCCCCTGGTGTCCATTTTGGTCATGTACACCATCATTGTATAACAAGGTGACCAGAGCCTCTCAGAGACACCCCTCACTCCCCGTTGTTCTGTCCATGGCCCCCTCCATCAGGGCCAGGCCAGGCAGCCCCCTGAGTCTTTTTTTTCGTGAGCTCAGGGCAGACTTCACATTCTACTGGGTTCCTCAGGGGTGAATCTGTCCATGTCTCCTTGGCTGTTCACTGTATAGGACTCAGGTGGTGACTACACAAAGTCCTCTTATGTCAGAATGAAATCGAGAGCAGTGACCAGCCCCATGGACTCATTTCCTCACCTGTGGGGACACCGGGTCCTCTCCTCTCGTGTGGCTGCTCCCTGGTGGCCAGAGCTGTCCTTCCTCTGTGGATTCTGCAGTGCTGGGTCGATAGGGAGCTCTTCCCTCCAGGATACCTGGGGCACATTCTCAGAGGGTTATGCTGGTAAATCTTTGTTCTGTCTCTTCTTTTCCAGACTTGCAGTCACAGTCATCGGGATCCTGTGACCAGGGATCTCACCTAGGAGTCTGTTCTCCATCACTGAATGCCAATCTGCGGGGGATCCTGGCAAATGACTTTGCAGTGTTTTGCTAAAGAGCAAAACAAGCAAATATGCTCAGTATTTGAAGATGGAAGAGTTAAAACTTCAGCTTGTTTTGACCAGAGTCTGTACTTAAGTGAGCCTGACACGTGGTAGCTTTTAGGATCAACCATTCCAACTAGGATGTTTAGGAAATAATACTGTTCAAAATCGCTAATGAGTGTTTTGGGCATGTCTGAAAGATGATAGAAATTATTCATCTTTGATGTGTAATGAAATCTAGAATATGATACATTAAAAACAGTAAACTGAAGAAAAAAGATAATCCTATTTATTAAAATGAAACAGATTGTATATATGACTGCAAGAGTTCTGGCATGATACACCTGGGATTCAACAAATATTTTTTGGGGCAATCCCATGTGGTTGGAGAACAGCAGGATAGTTATTTACTCTGGTGAGTCTGTCACCAGGCAGTTGTAGTACCATGAGGTTTTACATGCACCATTTAAACAATGTACTAGGCCGAGCACTGTGGCTCACGCCTGTCATCCCAGCACTTTGGGAGGCTGAGGTGAGTGGATCACTTGAGGTCAGGAGTTTGAGACCATCCTGGTCAACATGATGAAACCCCATCTTAGGCCGGGTGCAGTGGCTCACGCCTGTAATCCCAGCACTTTGGGAGGCCAAGGTGGGCGGATCACGAGGTCAAGAGATCAAGACCATCCTGGGCAACATGGTGAAATCCCATCTCTATTAAAAATGTGAAAATTAGCTGGGCATGGTGGCGGGTGCCTGTAGTCCCAGCTACTCAGAAGGCTGAGGCAGGACAATTGCTTAAACCTGGGAGGCAGAGGTTGCAGTGTACCGAGATTGCGCCACTGAACTTCAGCCTGGCAACAGAGGAAGACTCGGTCTCAAAAAAAAAAAAAAAAAAAAAAAGAAACCCCATCTCTACTAAAAACACAAAAATTAGCCAGGCATACTGGTGCGCACCTGTGGTCCCAGGTGCGTGGGAGGCTGAGGCAGGAGAAGTGCTTGAACCTGGGAGCTGGAGACTGCAATAAGTCGAGATTGTGCTACTGCACTCCAGCCTGGGTGACAGAGCTAGACTCTATCTCAAAAACAACAAACAAGCAAACAAACAAAAATCCACAATGAAGTAGTGATCTCTAATATAGACATTTAAATAAAACCAGTCAAGATAAATAACTGAAATAAAATGTATGCTGTATTTTAGGATTGCATTTCCAGGGTGTCATTATTTCAAATGTTCCTATTTATTGTAAACCATGTTACTTTAAATATTTTTATAGTTTTCGAAAAATGTTTGTTGTGTTTACATAACACACCAGGCATATTAAATTTTATTTCTTTTAAAGTAGAAACCAATTGTAACTGGGCTTGCACTTCCTATTTTCTTGTCATTGCCTCCTCTGTGATGATACATAGACATTCACAGTGAATTTTGTTTATCTTTTTCTCCCACCTTCATGAACAGAGGTTCCCCCAGGCTGAGCAGTGTCTCCCATACAGGACAAGGATGCCCATGGCCCCCTTTCTGCCAAGGGATGCTCTCCCTGGTGAACGTCCCATCAGTTCTTAGCCTGAAAGCAGAGAGAGGAATATTTCCACCACTGCTTCTCCCAGTTCATCCCCATCCTGGACTCAGTGTAATGTGGCCAGTGTGATGAAATGTAGGTTTTCTCAAATAGTTACTGAGCACCTACCTTGTGCTGGGCACAGAGCTCAATGTTGGGAAAGCCATGTTGATCTAGACAGCCTCATTCTGCCTCATGAAGCTGATCCTGATGGCAACACAGGGGTAGGAGCGGCAAAGAGGACCTCCCATTCTCCTCATTCATAATTGAAGCAAAGAGACCAGAGAGGGCCCTGCTACACTCAGGGGTCTCAGAAGGGATGACTTGGTGGGATCTCAGGAGAAGAGAAAATAAGACATTTCAGGAGAACTGAGGGAATATTGGCATGACTTGAAGATTCCTGGGGTTCAGGTGAAGATGCAGGGAAGTCCACAGAGTAGACCTAGATGGAGTAACACAGAGATAAATAACAGGATCCAGCAAAAGGGGATGCCCAGGAACAGAGGGATTGTGATCCAGAAAGAGACCCTTGCAGGGCAAGTCCTCAGAAGTCCAACAAGATGCACTTTTGATCCCCAGGTCCAAGAGCTTGTTCCCCTGGTGGGCCCAATCTGCTAGGGATCTGGAAAGGAAGGCAGGGAGGAGTCACGTGTTAGCAGGTAGATGTGTGGAGAGGAGCAGAATGGGGGCAGAGGGATTCCACTTTAGGAGAAGATGGATGGGTGGTGGCAGATGGGAATGTCCAAATGTACCTGTATTTTTCTAGATATTTCACATAAATGGGGTGATTTTAATTTGTAGATTGTGAGATGAGAAGACAAAATTCATAGCTATGTTGCTATTATTCTAAAAGACAGTGTATCTTCAACACAGAAATTTCCTTCACAGGTTCTATCCTGGTGGAGTATAAGCACTGAGTTTTTAAAAATGCTTTTTAACATTTATTTATCATCATACTGTTTTTCTCCAAAATACATAAACCAATTAAAATTGTTGACATATGTGAATACTATATGTTTGTGAAAGTCATACTCTTACCTTTTTGAAGCATATTCTCTGACCATTTCTGAGGTTATTCATTGAGAAGGCCAAGAAGATTCACCACCTCATATATTATGCTGTTGTTTTTGAGTTGTAAACTCTCGAAGCTCTGGAATGAATTTTCTTGGATCCTGAAGTGATTCCTAAGAAACTTTCCTTTGCTAACCCTGTATTTATCTAAGGAACCCTCTCCTCCCCATTTTTCATGTCAATGGGCTGTAGATACATGGTTGGCCTCATTAGCTGCTGCGTAGTAAATGAACCATGACAGAGAATGAGAGCATAAGTGTGAGTATAGAAGTCTGGAAATCAAATGGCTCTAGGCCTGAGGAAATGACCTGACATTATTGGGTAGAGACAGAACTTCCTAGAAGGATATTGAGAAGGAGAATATAAGATTTAAGTAAATCAGGAGAGTTCAGTTAGAGCCCTAATAGTTCACTTTTTGTCCTGAAGGGGCAGGGTCACAGCTGAGTTAAAGCCAGGCTGATCCTGATCCCAAACCCTGTGACCAGGTCCCTGTGAAGACTCTCAGCAGTTACACAGGTAAGCTGGGGGAGCAGCAGTCTTGGGATGAGTCCAGAAGGAGGCACCCCACGGTGTGAACAGATGAAGACGTGTTTCTCTAGGCCTCTGAGTCTGGTCCTCACTGAGAGAGGGGCAGGTGGAGAACAGGTGCCCAGGTGATGGTGGGCAGTGACCACTTATGTTTCTTCTTGAATTCCTTTCATTTCCTTATGTCCTCTGGGCTTAGGAGGCCAACATGAGGGTGTTTATTTGCTTTCTGTCTCTTCTAAGACTACCTGATTCTCAGATCACTGCCTCCTGTATGGGCATGGCTGTGTCCTAGCCTGAAATTGATCCATTATAGGAATATCAGAAAGGTCAGGGAGCCCAAGATGAAGCATTGTGAGATGAGGACACACAGGCCCATGTCACTGCCCAGGTTCCAGCCTCAAGGAGACATCACCCATCATGAACTTAGGATAAAGGTGGAGGGAAGAGTGATGCACACAGGGGGCCATGTAGGCAAAGCTTCTGTTCTATTCCTCTCCTTTCTAGACCCTAGGTCTCCCAGCCATAAACTTAGCCTGTAAGCGTCCCCAACTGCAATGCCAGGGACAGGCACTGTGTGGCCCAAATTAATCAGAGAGTCCCCCCGGTAACCATGATGATGTCAGGGGAGATGGCATGAGTGATCTAGTCCAGCCATCCTGATATCCGAGATTCCTGGCCAGTGGGTCAGGGAGGGAAGATCTTGCTCATTCTGGCAGGTTTTCTGTGAGGATGTAATGCCTGGCACTGGGGAGTCATTTGGTTTCCAAATACGAATTCATCCAGGTGACAGGACAGGTCATGGGAAGGGAATTCTCATGTATCTCAGAGGGAGATTCTCCCCCTTGCCATCTGCAGAGGAAAAGGTCCTGAGATGCTTTTGAACAAGGATGGGGAGCTGGTGTCTGTTTCCATTGTAAAAATCAACTCAGGACCTCCCCCAGCCTTCTTGCTCATGAAGGCCCTCTCAGCAGGGGGTCACTGTGCCCATCCAGGTCCTAAGGCCAGCCTTGACCCTTTTTCTCACCCGGGCTTCAGACCCTCCTCCCCAGAAACTTGTGCTGAAGGGGTGGAGGCTGAAGAGGGAAGACATATTACTGGGGAGACAGAAGGTTTTCCTCCCAGCTACCCACTGGCCTGCAGCACTGCCTAATCATGGATCCTTGGGTCTCAAGATGAGCGAAAGAATCAGCCTCATTCTCTGCCTGGAGCCCAGAGATGCTCAGGGATGCCATGATCCCCAATCTGGGACCTGAGAACTTCGCTGGGACCTGTGCAGACCAATGACTGCTGTCATAGATGAGGAGTTTGGGGGCACTGCTGATACCAGGACACAGGCCCACACCCAGCCTTGCTTCTGCTTCAAGTGTGATAGATGGCGGCAGTTTACCCCACCCACAGGAACTCTTCACACCACTGAGTCAGCACAGACTGGGCCCAGAACCTTGACACCTGGACTAACAGAGGGTGAGAGAGGTGGGTCAGTCGACAGGGCAGCATGCAGGGTCCTCGTTCCATTCACCCACAGCCCTGATCCCTAGCCCTAGTTACCTGTGCAGTGAATGAGAAGGGGGAGAAAGGGAGGAGCTCAGGCCTTGGTGGGGACCCACACACAGCTCTGCATCCTGATGACACTCAGCTGGGCTTGAGCTCCCCCAGTCCCTATTACTTTCGCCAGCAGCCCAGGATGAAGGAGGGTCTCTTCATGCACACCAGCCTCCTCCCCTGGGCTGGCCAAGTCCCACCCTAGGCCCTGACTCTGACCCTTGCCTAGAAAGCTGAGCCTGGGATGGGGTGGACCAGGGTGGGGCTGTTCTGTGGCTCCCTAAGGACCTGTAAGGACACAGCTGCTGGTCCTCGTGAGCAGAGGCAGAGGGCTCCAGCCTAGGCCTAGCAGGTGGCTCCCGTCTGGGATCCACAGCACAGGCCTCAGAGTCAGCCCACAGCACCCTCTGCTGTCTGAAGCCCACACAGGCCTGAGTATCTGGCTTTCTTCACTATCCACTTTATCTTCTCCATATAGGATGGAGCTGGGCAGTGTCCATATCACTAAGCATCTGAGTCTCAGGTCTCTACACAGCCCTCATGCCCTGGACTCACCTGCCCAGCTCACTGTGTGGTTTACAAGACAGTCCTGGAACTCAGCCTCCCTGAGGAGCCTCCCCTAGGGACTGCAGAGCAGGAAGACCAGCAGGGACAGGGCAGTGCTTGCCTCCAAGACACCAGGAGCTACTCCCTCTTTTCCCTCCCTGGCTGACCAGAGCCTGCTCCCGGATGACTGGGACCTGCCCTCTGGCCCATCCTCTGTCTGTGCCTTCACCTTCCTCTCAGGCCCTCACTGACAGACTGCAGACAGACAGGTAGGTAGGTAGGAAGGTAGGTGAAAATATTTGCCCATCTGAGGAATAAATTCTAGAACAATATAAACACCAAGTTAATTAATTAATTGTTTTGTAGCCCCTGCCCCTCCCCAGCAGCCCTGGTGCATCGTGGCCCTGGCGCTCCCCCAGAATCAGGCCCTTTATGGCTTCAGGCTGTCCCAAGCATCTCTCTACCAGTCTGGCCTCCAGATTGGGTGTTCTCAGTTCCTCAAGCCCCTCAAGCACTCTGGCCTCCAGTATCTAAGCTTCCATCTCCTAACAGCAATGGAGTGACTTTGTGTTAATCCCATTTCATCTTCCCAACACCTTTACTAAGTGGGTATTTCCATCATTATTTCCATTTTTCAAGTGAGGAAAGAAAGAAAACTTGGGTTGCCCAAGGCCACACGGCCAGTAAATGCCAGGATACAATCCCAAGATTGCTTGTTTATTTGTTTAGAGATAAAGTGTCACTCTGTCACCCAGGCTGGTGTGCAGTGGCGTGATCACAGCTCACTGTAACTTCAAACTCCCGGGTGTAAGAGATCCTTCTGTCTGAGCCTCCCAAAAACGTGGGACTACAGGTGCGCACCACCATGTCTGACTTCAAGCCCAAGTCTTAAGACTCAAGATCTAATCCTCACTGTGCTTTATACCATAAAACCCACTTCTCTTTCTAGATTTAGGATTAAGCCCCAGGATTATTTCATCTAGGCTTTTCTAGACTTATCTATCAGCCATCTTCCATTTTGGTATCAGTGCTGGGCTTGCGAAGGGGGTTACGTCTTAGATGCCAGAGTCTGGGAACTTCAGTTCTATCCAATTCCCTTGAAAGCCCCAAGCTCTTTTGGCCTGAGAGCGAGGCTCAGTCTCCCCTCAACTCCCGAGTCAATCCTCTGAGGATTCTTAGCTGAGGAATAAAAACCCCCTCAAAGACTCTTTTGTCCTATTCTTACCCAGGCTGCAACAGAAGAAAAAATGAGTAGATGGCTCAGGAGATCTGGTTCACCATCTAGGCCTCAGTTTATGCCACCCCTCCTCACTTTAGAAAGAGGGTCCTCACTATTCCCTGGTCCCAGACACCTCCAGCACCTCCCCACACCACCCCGGGGGACTGCCTGGCTCTGCTGCCTCGGATATTGCCTGGCCCTCCCCTTGCCCTCTGTGGCCACCTCCTCTTTATTTCTTTGGATAGAAGAAGCCAGGTGGTAGCTGGGAGAGAGGAGAGAGGAGATAGGGGAGCCCTGGGTAGATTCCTGATTTCTAACTCTTTCTTCTCCTCACTAGGGCCCTGACAGCTGATGAGCAGCTTGCAAGGGATTGGGTCAGTGCCCTCTAACTCTTTCCTGGGCACATAGAAATAAATGTTTCTACAGTTTCAGAGACAGCCCTTACAGAGTTTGGAGATAATGCCTGGGATGGAGGCCCTGGGCTGTGCAAGGTCCTCAAGTAGCCCTGAGCTGTCACCTGGCCATAGCTGCAGTGAGGAGAGTGATGGGAGGGGGATGAAGTAAGGAGTCCAGGTCTTGGGGAGGACCTATGCTCTTTCAGGTCCTTAGAGGAGCTCAAATGCCCCCACTTGCTCACCCACCCCTTACAACATGGGCAGACACAGGACATTCTTGTAAATCTGGCCTTCTCCACTCAGCTGTGCAAGCCCCACTCTGGGCACAGAAGGTGAACCTGCTCCTGGGGGCTGGTGCTGAGAAAGCAACTTCAGGGGAGAAACCTGGACACACAGAGGCTCTGGAAGGGACAGTAGCTGGGACCGGGAACACTGGACAGAGGACACTGACCATAGTAGTTTTGTTATGTCATCCTCTTCAGGGACCCTCCAGAACAGACCCAAGACCCTGTGCCTCTGTGTCTCCAGGGCCCAGGCCCTTCCAGGTTTTCTATTTGTCACTGCTCTGGGCCCTGGGACTCCTCCTCAAAAGGCTCCCAAAGACAGTCTCTTCTTCAGGCTGCACCCTCCTTACCACATCTGACCCCATACCTTTTGCCTCATTCCCCCATAAACCATCCCCTGCTCACTGTAGATAGCTTTTTTGCATCATCCTTAAACTGCAGCCTCCTTAAGCATATCTCTACAGAAAACCCACATTGCAGAGAGCTCTGCCCCTTGACAGGACAGCTGTGCCTGGGCCACCCAAGGCTGAGCATCTCTCTTGCTTCTCTTCTACACCAGCCATAGTCCAAGACAGAGCCAAAGCTTTCAGAATGTTGATTCCATGTTTTCTTAAGTATCAGACTTCCACTCTCACATATGGGTCTCTGGGTCACACAGGCTGGGTTCTCCTTTCTTGTCATCTCTCCAACAGTCTCAGAGCTCAGGAAATGGCCACCATACCTCCACCAAAGGAGAGGACACCTATGGGGCCAAGCAGAGGGCACCTGGGTCTCTGGGTCTCACAGTCTGGATTCTTCTTTCTTGTCATGCCCACCTCATCCACACCATGGGTAGCCTCCTCCTTTTGCTTCTAGAAACAAATTGATTCTGTTTCCACTGGGACAAACAAGTTCTCTTCACTGAACCCATGCTCCACTTTCAGTAACACAAGTGACAGCAGAAGCCTTGGCATGAAGTGGTGTTGGTCACAGGCAGGGATAAAGGAGGGATGGGGAAGACAGGAGGAGCTGGGAACAAATCTTTCTCTCACTTCTCCATGGACCAGGAGCTTCTGGTGATATGGAGTCTGGATGCAGCTGGATGACACTTATAATCAGCCGTGTCCTCGGCCTAGAACCCAGAGCTGGTCATGGAGGCAACGTGGACAAAGCCAGAGCAGGAGAATCAGGCTGGGATCCCTGAAGGTCCATCACTGTTGTCCTGGGTCACAAATAGAGGGGTTCTCCCTGGGAGCCCTCAGTAGCCATTTCCATGGGACTGCCCAATGCTTCTGCTGCTCCCCATGCAGGAAAAGGTGACATCAAGTTGTAGGCCTCCTCAAGAGTTTCATGGGGAGGAGTCACTTGAAGCAAATATTGGGCAGTTTCTATACCCAGATATTGCACTGACTAGACTCTGACTCAGTGAAAAGCTAATGGTGTAAGAGAAGAGAAAATAATACAGTCAGACCCCAAGAGTTCAGGAAAACCACCCTCGGAAGTTCCCGTGATTCTGAGTGGGATGAGCTGGAGGAAAGTCTCATCCATGGAACCTACTTCTACCAGTGGCCCAGGAGCAGCCTCAGCTTTGTCTAAGCCATGATGGAGACCCCCACCCCCTACTCGTTTATTCTCCCATGTCCTACAGAGTGATTTCCTGGCCTCAGATCCAGTTACCCCCACACCTCATCAGCTCTCCTGACATTGAAACTGAAATGCAGGTACCTGGGACTGGGCCAGGCCAGGTTTATGTCTGGAGTTCCTCCCTGAACTGTATCCGCATGAAGCATTTTACATTTTAGTGCTTTGATCCTGGGACACAGTGAGCCGTGGACAGCCCTGAGCACAGACTACTGGAAATGGAAGAGCGGGTCTCTGGACTATTTACCTGCTAGGATATTCTCAGGCTCTGACTACAATGTGAGCTAGAAAAGGCACATTTTGCTTCTCTCAAGAGAAAAAGGCCCAGCTCCACAGGCACTGGTTTTTAGCACATACGGACAACCATCCAACAGTTTAGCGTCATCAGGTGGTTTTGTTTTGTTTTTGTTTTACTCAGACTTCAAAAGCAGTGAAAGGGAAATGGAGAGAAAAGCCTGTTACCACAAGAAAGTACTTCCAAATATACTTTGTAAATAGGCAAGTTAAGTTTACAATTTGAAAATTGTCACAGAACAAGAGTGAGAGCAGGGTGAGGTTTTTGTCCCACTTCCCCATGTGTGTGTGTCACTGTGAGAAGTGCTGCTGTACCAAATGGCACAGTAATAGTCAGCCTCATCTTCAGACTGGAGCCCAGAGATGAGTAAAAGGCCTGCATTGGTTGAAGCATCTTTGGATCCAGAGAAGCGGCTGGGGACTCCAGAGCCCTGCTGCTTATCTGAGTCTGATTTGTACCTCAGGAGATACCGGGGAAGACTCCCTGGCTTCTGCTGGTACCAGTATATCCTGTAGGTACCAACATTGATGCCACTGCGCAAGGTGCAGGTGAATCTGGCTGATGCTCCAGGAGATGCTGAGAGGGAGGTTGGCTGAGTCAGCACAGGCTGCGAGAGGGAACCTAGAAACACAGGCATTTATGAGTGATAAGGCAGAATGGAGGGTAAAGTTTTTTAGGGATCTTTGCCAGAAGAGTCAGAATCAGGCTGAGGTGCTGGCCCTGGTCTGTTAGGCCTTTTCCTACCTGTGCAGTGAGAGAGGAGCAGGAGGAGGAGAGGAGTCCAGGCCATGGTGGACACAGCCTCTTACCCCACAGTGGGACTGGGCTGCCCCAGGCCTCCTTTTCTTCCCACCCTCTGCAGAGGAGGGGCTGCTCATGCAAATGTGTTTCCACCCAGGGACTGCCCAGCCCCTCCTTGAGACCTGGGCATGCAGCTCACCTCACTCTGCAGACTAAGCAGGAGGAAGGTTTGTTTTTTTTCTTGCAAGGTCCTGGGAGGAAGCACCTGTTGAGACGATACACAGGTCCCTGCTCAGAGAACTCTGCCAGGCCAGAGGGGACACAGCTGCTGAGTGTCCATCAGTGAGCACAGGGCCCAGACCCAAGGCCTGGATTTCTTTGAGTGAATGTTCCTTACTGAACAGCTGTGTAGCACCCACAGGGCAGCCCCACAACATCCGACGCTGGTCCCCGGACACACACTTTCCCATGGCTCAGAGACTTCAAAACCCAGCTGGTCTCTACCATTCACCAGTCAGTCTCTGGATTCACATATCCTTGATCTGATTCCTAGACACTTCTATTATGCTATGAATTACTAGTGTGATTTCTCACTCCCAGTAGTAGTCCTGGTCTGTGGGATGTGCAGACATGTACATATATAACTTTTACAGGTGTCAGCATCACCGCAGGGCATTCTAGAAAAATCTAATTGCCCACATGTGCCATTAGGGTGGGCATTATGGAAAAGTGATCAGCTAAGGAGCTGGGTTGAAGGGCAGCTGGGGGCTGTCCAAAAGGACGGTGAATAATGAGACTTTTCCAGGAAAAATAAAAAAATTCTTGACATGTTAAAGGCAGCAATTTAGCAAAAGTTATATATGCAATGGTTTCATATGTTTTATAGGGATTTGACTCAATTTAGTAATACAGGAAAACTAATAGATTTGGTAGACTTACCTTTATCAGTGAACAATTATGTATTTCTCTATTTTATGAAGTTAGCCATTATCTCCCTAAGTAAAACTTGTCATTGTCTGCACAGTTCTGTCATATTTTTTGGTCAAGAATTTGTCCTAGATGTTATACTATTTCTTTGTAATGTGATGTTGCCACATGTATTTTCTGACTGGATGTTTTCAGTTTATTAGAAAGATCAGTATGTATTTTGCCCTCAAAGTTCTCTTGCAAGTGAGTTGGATGTCTCAGGAGACAAAGGCAGAGACCATCCCTCCTCAAAGTACCACGTCTACTCTTGTACTAACTGTGCAAATGGCCCCTGAATTTCTAGACTCACGAGGTGCTTTAGCGAATAATCTAGAATCAGGATCACTCACTTCCCTCAGGCACTCTCCTCAGGGCATTCGGAGAGATCTCTCTCATTCAGATGAGGCAGGGAAGGCACTCCCTGGCTTAAACCCCTTCAGTAACTCCTCATTTTTATAAAACCTGAGCCCTGAGGCCTCCGCAGCATGCCCTTCACACTGTGGCCCCTGCACACCCCCACAGCCCAACTCACAGCCCCTCCTCTTCATTTGAGGGCTCCAGACTCACTCGCCTGTCTGTCCTGGGAAACCCTGAGCTCCTGTCTTTTCCATGACCTCCACCCCAGCTTCTCCTCTGCCTGTTGGGAGAAGATGGTCTTCTACTTGAAATCAAAGTGTAAGCTTGCATTTTGTCCACATTGTACACCTGTTAAAAGCAGAACACAATCATCTCATCATAAACAAGGATACTTTAACACTGGTTATCATGGAAACTTTTGAGTCACACAAACAGACTGATAATTTTCTAATGAATTGTTTGTATCCCTCAGCCAACTTTGACCATCATCAATGTGGTTCATGTTGTTTAACTTTTCAACACCTTTTACCCATCAACTTAGCCCCTGGCTAGGTGATTTTTACAGTAGACCAATGAAGAGGTAGCATATCATTGGTATATAAATTAACCAATATATACATGTGAAGTATTCCCTAATTTTTGCGCATTAAAGCAACAGATTTCAAGGATTCTCACATTAATTGATTTTTTTTGATCATCCATGTCTAAAGTTAATTTATTGTAATAATTGGGAAATTGAAGGAAGTACAATGAATGCTAAGATTTGCAGATACAGGACTCACAGCATTGCATGTTGGATTAGAATATAGTCCAGATGGGCACCTACATTCCTAATTATTTATCAGCTTTACCAAGTCCTCCTAGTGCAGAAATATCTCTTCTGTGGACACAGAGCTCACAAACCCATCATTCTTCCTTCAAGAATTTCCTCAACAAAGCCTATTATGGGACTTCGGGTGGATGAGTTTAATGTTTGAATTGCATTGATCATATGGCTGATTTAAAGCTCTGTAATGAATATTGTGTTGAAGGGTATCTAATGTAAAGTTTCTTAGTTGTATAAATATTACCAGAAATTTTCCCAGTTCACCCATATTCTGCAGTTTATTTGCTCTCGAGGGAATTCTGTCCCCAGAATTTGCTTTATGATCTACTTGCTTCCTGTGGTTTCTTTAAGCAGGACTGGGAAAGCCCATCACATCCTCTCCACTTTCTCCACATGAACCCATGGGATCCAGCATATATGGATCCATGGGAATCAGACCATAAGTGAATGAACAGAGGCCGTGATTGGCAGCTGCAGAGATCAGTTGGGTTCTAAAGTCTCTGGGCCATGGGGCGGTGTGTGTGATATATATGTATTTTTATATCCATATCCTTCTCCTGCTAACCAAATCCAAAGGCAAAAGTTCTTGCTTAATATCTTCTATTGAATGAACTTGGAATCTCAAACACAAAATATCCAGAATTTTTTTAAAAAGTATTATCTTGACCTCAGATCTGTATCTCTTTTTGGAATTCCAATGTAGGTGAACTCACATATTTAACAAACATGTATTGAGCCTGTCCTTAGTGCCAGGCAGTGTTTTCGTCTCTGTAGGTACAGCAATGACAAGATAGAAAACAGCAACAACTACAGTGAAGAATCTCATGGAGGTTGGATCTCAGCAGGGGAAACACAGTGAACAGAGTCACTAACTGTAAAGAAACCTCTTCATGTGGCTGATCCCACCCTGACCCATTAGTCACCCTGGGGATTTGAAGCCCATTGCTGACAGCTGAGAGACATGCATTTCTATAATTCTGAAGAATGGATTGACGTGCTTAGAACTTGATGGTGTTATTTGACTATGTGTGTTATAAATAATCCTGTGTAAACAGAATGTGGTCATTCTTCTTGGCTTCATTAATGGCTGAGATCTCACTGTAGGCCAGAGGTAAAACAGAACATTCCCATCTTCCAGAGGAATTCCTCAGGGTAACTAGACAACTGAGTGTGAGGAGATAGCTTTGCCATCAGATAACCTCCCTACTGCTCTCTTTGTGACAGAGGAAGAGCAGCAGAGACACCACAGCCCTGGAAGCCTTCCCTGGGAAGGTGGCAGGGAGGAAGGAAGGTAAAGAGAAGGGTGAATAAGGATGCCTGGGCGGGGGCTGGACCTCCTTTCCTTGCCCAGACTCAGAATCCTGCCTTTCCACTGCTCTCCAGCTTTTTAATTGACCTTTACCCCCACCTATCACTGAGGAGGCTACAAGCGCCCTGCCCCATAATGACACCTTGGGAGCCATTTGCCTGTGCCGGGCCTCAGTCCTCAGTCTCCTGCACCTGCACGTACCACAAATCAGTGTGCTCCCAAATCAGCTACTTCAGCACTGACACCTCCCGTCTCATGGTTTCTGACAGAGCTCTGGGAGGTTTGATCGTGAGCTTTAACAGCAGTAACAGCAGCCCCTTGAGTGTGTAGGGCATCATCCCATGTGCTCTGCAGTGCTCTGTCCCGACCCTTGGGGCTTTTGCTCAATAGAAAGTAACCAGAGAGGTGGTTTGATCACATGTGAAGTAACCGCTGAGCTAAATGCAGCACACCCAGCATGGCGCATGTATACATATGTAACCAACCTGCATGTGGTGCACATGTACCCTAGAACTTAAAGTATAATAAAAAAAATTCAGAATAATATAAATAAAAACAGCATATATATATTATATATAAGATATATAAATATATGCAAATATATATCAATATCAATATAAAATATATATATCCGCATATATATATATATATCCGCATATATATATATATAAATAAATAAAAGAAAGTAACCAGGTCTCTTTTCAGGTGTGTAAAGTGATGGTTCGCATTAATCTTATTGATAGGAGGGAAGGGCAGCAATGAGTCCTGAGTCCTGTGAGCTTTCCAGAGAGAAGAGGAGAGTGACACACTCGATCACAGTTGCAGGCTGTTGTCAGGTTTCCATCACAAGGACACGCTCAGGGCCTCAACCATTGGCCTCCTTCCTCTAGTCCTTCTCTCCATGGTGTGAGTCACACACAGTCTTCCCAGCTCAGCTGCCACATTACTTGCCAGAAACCTCATCTCTCATGTGTACAAAGCCACCATGTCCTAACTGGACCATCTTTCTTCACTCTGTCCCCTCCTTTTTCATCTTCCTTAGAGAAGCTGGACTTTGCCTCCTGAATCTCAAACCAGAGTCTGTATCTCCTTGCTTACAACCTCCTAATAGCTTCTTGTTGCTCACTGTCTTCTGGCCCATGTCAACCATTTTATAGCTCACAATATGCCTTATTCTCATTGATTTGTTGGTGCTCACTCTTCTGTGAGGCATTATCCCTGTAAAGACAGGAACCCTGTCTGTCTTGTAAACTCTGTATCCTGAGCACTCTCCTGAGACTGGCACATAATAGGTGTTTAGTAGACAATAAGGATGAACAGACCTTTGCGTTAGTGCACATGCCTGAGGCAGACCCAGCTGGATTCTGTCCCTGCTTACCCTGACTCATCTTGAGTCTGTCCCCAGGGCAGCCTGTTCCTGGAATCAAAGACTCTGATTTTTTTGAGGCAGTCTGACAATGCTGTTGCTAAGGGCTTCCTCTGAGGGCTGGCTGTGAGAGAACAAAGCTGTATTCTCTAGATCACTGTCCCCGAACTAAGTCTTGGGCCCTGGTTAGCGGCAGCATCAAGAAACATCCACACAAATGGTAAACAGACCAGCTGTCCTGGTTGTGGGTGGTGCCATTGGAAGGTCATGCTCCTAGGAGACCTGGCGTGTTCTCATCTCACTTTCCCAGACTGCAGCACTGTTTGGACCTCCAGGGGGCTGTCTGAAGCCAACAGGAGTGATCAGCCTTGTCCTCAGCCTAAAGCCCAGAGATGCTTAGGAAGGGCTTCATGCAAGACTGGTAGCCTGAGCGTCTGTCCTGAATCCCTGCGGGCAGATATTTACTTCTATGAGTCAGAAGCTTGGAGGCACTTCCTGGTCATTGTTGGCACCAGGTCACAATTCCAAGAACCTTATTGCTGCTGCTTCCAGTTCAGGAGATGGTGGCTGGTTTAGCCACAGACAGACGGTGCAGGTTACCTGATGAGCCATGATTGCCCGGGACCCTGAGAGTCGGGAGAGAGACACAGGGTGAGGGAGGCAGCTCAGTGAGCCAGGGGAGCAAAGCAGAGCCCTGGTCCTGCCAGTGCCAGTCCCTGACTCCCTGTCTCCAGCCACCTGTGCCGCGACTGAGGAGGGTGAGGAGGAGGGGGTGCAGGCCATGGTAGAGATGTCTCTAGAGCTCTGCTTCCTGAGCCACACGGATTAGGGGGAACAGCCCCCCTTCCCTGGCCTCTCTTAATTGAGGGGACTTAATGCCAATCTATCCTGACCCCTGGCTGTGCCCCTCACATAAGTTGCTGAGTCTGGTTATTCTTTTTGAGGAGCGGGTGGTTGGGAGTTGGGAGAGTGTGGTCCATCACTGTCCAGGAAACCTGGAAGGACACAGCTGCTGAACCCAATGAACAGTAAAGGGAAACAAGGAGACAAGTGTCTGGTTTGCAAGCTGAGGCCAGCCATGAACTCACTTCCCAGGCCGCCAGAAATCCATGGGTCTCTCTTCCCATGTGATTCCTCACTAGATCAGCACATAAGGGAGAGTGCTGGAGTTTGGGAAGAATCAGTTAGCCTATTTGTGTGATTCACTGGATTCACTGGAAATGCAGAAAACCCCAGGAATCAGGAGAAAGTGCTGGCTGAGGTAAAAAAAATAAAAAGATAAATATAAAAGTATTAGCCAACTTTGAGCTTCTTCAGAACTAAGGGTATCAGAGAGTTTGAGAAGTACACTTCTAATACATGCCTGAAGACACTGTATGTAGTTTGGGGTATAAATTGTTCCTCGTACCTGAATCTCTTATGCTCTAACTAACATGAGCAGGAAATTTGTGTTTCTCTATTTTGTGCATTGGGAAGTCAGGAATAATGTACCCAAGGCTTTCCATTGAAAAGCACAGACATTTTCTCTGACCTCACAAAATCCACAGAAATGACCAGGAATGGTTTAATGACAACAACGTATAACATCATTGACTAGCAAACAATTGAAATTACCTAAAAGCTAGAATACTTCACTGGTACTCAGTTCAAAATGCAATGATCAACTATTAAAATATTTTATCCTTTTAAATAAATGGAACACTACTTACATTAACTTTAAATGACAAGAGCATAAAGGTGGATCAAACCAGAGGAATGAGCACCAGGTTTAATCACCATTGTGGAAATATTAAAAACAGAAATAAAAAATGCATCCAAATGAAGAAAAGTACTTATTTTGATTGCATGGGATAAGGTAGCTTAGCAGAGAACTTGGTGATTTTTAATACTTTCTGACTTTATATAATAGTCATGGATTGCTTTGAAAGTAACTCAATAAAATAAACTTTAATAATATACCCGTGGAGAGTTTATTTTCTTTGCTCTTAGCTCAGAAAGCCCATCGTTTGAAGAAGCTTCTGTCTGGAGGAAATGCATTTAGACTCAGCCTTTAGATCTGATCCTGCTGTTTCTGTTTTTTTTTCATATAAAACAAATAACTTTTGCTTTGTCTCATTCAATTACTGCAAATCACTCTCACATTTCCTCCACTTCAGGGCACAAGGAGGGATAGAAATCAATTCAGACCCTTTCCTTCCCCTTTCTATGGCTGGTCCACATGTAGGCTGTCTTGAGAGCTGGTGTGTATGATCACACAATCTCCACATCACAAGGGCCGAGGGAGGTTTATGTCTTGGTTCCTCTTATGAGTCTGTCACTGTGCTGAGCACCACCATAGTAGAGCAGGCAGTAATACTCAGCCTCGTCCTCAGGCTGCACACCTGACAGTGTCAGGGCAGCTTTGCCCCCAAGGAGGGAGCCTGAGAACCGGGCAGGGGTCCAGGAGTGTTTGTTGCTTGTACTATAAATCAGTGCCCTGGGTGCTTGTCCAGGTTTCTGCTGGAACCAGTTTGGATAGTAACCACTGGTGACTGCTCCAGTGCTGGAAGCACAGGTGAGAGTGACTGTCCCTCCTGGGGACACAGTCAGTGAGGGCTCCTGAGTCACCACAGTCTGAGAATTGGACCCTGAAACAAAAAACAGACACATGTTAGAAATTAGAAGGGCAGACAGAAGGATCCCTCCAAAGGCTGGTATTTGAAATCTCTCTTAACCTGGGCAGCAAGTGAGGAGGAACAGAAAGAGAGGAGTCCAGGCCATGGTGCTGATATTGGAAGGGACCCCTGGCGCCAGAGCTGGGGCTGGATTCTGATGGCTCTTTATCTCCTATTGAGCTCTCTCCATGGAGGGGGTGTGCTGTGTGCTGCTTTATGCAAATCTTTACTGCCTTTATCACCACCTGGGTCCACAGGCCTGAGAGCAGCTACACTGTGAGGGGCCAGCCCAGGGAGGCTGTGTGCTGTGGATTTGTCCTGTGGGAGGAAGCAGCTGCTCTAACATTTACATGAGTCAATGAGCACCTGTGCAGGGTTCATGAAGTTTGGACCTCTTGAGCTTCTTACAGTCCAAGAGACCCAGACCACCCCCTGGTGGCTTTCCTGGACTGAGAATGCGTGGTCTTTCACTTGTTTCACAAATAACTGTGGATTTATCTTTGGACATTGCCACAATATTTTCCAGGCCAATTCACACTCATTAATTGTCTATTCTTTGCTCATTCCTATTTGTGCTACTTTCTCTTGCTGTTGCTGAAATTCTGCCCCTGTGACTATAATTTGATATTAGTGTTACATGGTGTTCATTTTTATTTGAATGACTAAATTAATTGTTTTAATGACCTACTGGCTTTCTGTAACTATTTGTGTTGAGCCTTATATTGGATAAACAGCTGGTTTAAGTGAGAATTTTTTAAAAAATTTACTTTCGACAATTTTTTTTTAATGACAGTTTTACAGAAGGATTAAAAGATCCTGGGGTCAGTAGCTGTTGGCTTATGGCACAGAATATAAGAGTAGTCACTGGAAGTGGAAGAAGAATGATGATGAGCAGGGAGTCTCTCACAGTCTTACTCAGCCTTTTAACTTACAAAATCAATAAGCTATGTTCTGTAGCATCTTTGAGAGAACATTTGAGACCATTCAAAAACAACAATAGCAAAAGCCATTCAGTATTATTTCCCAGAACGTCTATATTTGTGAAAGACTGTACTGTTTCCACTGAAAAGTCTTGACAACCTTGTTTAAAATTATTTGACTGTATAACTAAGAGTTTTTTTTCTAGGCACTCAGTTCTATTTTATTTGTCAGTATGTATGTTACATATATACCACTCTGTTTTGATTAGTGTAGCTTTGTAGTATGTTTTGAAATCAGAAAGTGTGAGACCTCCAACACTGGTCTTCTTTTACAAGATGACTTTGACTGTTTAGGTTCCCTTCATACTCTATATAAATTTTAGGTTTAATTTTTTTCTATTCTTGCATAAAATATTACTGGAATGTTTTCAGAGATTGAAATGAATCTGTCAATTCCTCCTGGTTTGTTTTGCTAGCATAACAATACTGAGTTTTCCAGTATACGAACAAAGGATTTCTTTCCATTTATTTGTGTATTCTTTAATTTCTTTTAGTAATGTTTTATACTTTTCAATCTACAAGTCTTTCACCTCTTTGAATAACTTTATTCTTAAGTATTTTACTGTTTCATTTTTATTTATTTGTTTCTTTGAGACAATGTCTCACTGTCACCCAGGCTGGAGTACAGTGGCAAGATCTTGGCTCACTGCAACCTGTCCCTCCTAGGCTGAAGCAATTCTTGTGACTTGGACCCCTGAGTAGCTGGGATTACAGGCATGTGCCACCACAGCTAGCAATTTTATTTTATTTTATCTTGTAGGAACGAGGCTTTACCATATTGTTGAGGCTGGTCTTGAACTTCTAACCTCAGATGATCCGTCCAAATCAGCCTCCCAAAATGCTGAGATTGCAGGCATGAGCTACTGTGCCCAGCCATATTTTACTCTCTCTAATGATGTTGAAATTTGATTTGTTTTATTAATTTTGTTTTGGGTTTTTTCCTGTGTCCTTGTTTAAATATTGAAATATAAGAGATTTTCTAAGTATTGAAATATAAGAGATTTTCTTTCTTCTTTCTTTCTTTCTTTCTTTCTTTCTTTCTTTCTTTCTTTCTATCTCTTTCTTTGTTTCTCTCTTTCTTTCTTTTTTCTTCTTGAGACAGGCTCTTGCTTTGTAGCCCAGGCTGTCCTTGAACTCTTGATCCCAAGTAATCCTCCCACCTCAGCCTCTCAAAGTGCCAGGATTATAGGCGTGATTCACCATGCCCAGCCATGAGATGTTTTTACATGGTGATTTTGTATTCTGAACATTACAGAATACATTTAATCATTCTGACAAAAGCTGTTTTGTGGAACTTTTAAGGGTATTCTACATATGACATTAAATCCATTGAAAACAGAGATAGTTTTACTTTTTATTTCTAATTGTTATCCTGTTTATTTATTTCTCTTGCCTTATTGCTATGGCTAGGACTTTCAATACTGTTTTGAATAGAAGCAGTGAAAGTGTACATTGTTGCTATGTTCCTGATATTACAAAAACATATCTTTGGTCTTTAAGATTATGTATGATGTTGACTGTGGGATTTTCATAGATAGCTTTTACTATGTTAGGGTAGTTTCTTTGTATTCATAGTTCACTGAGCGTTTTTATCATGAAAGGGTGTGGAGGTTTGTGAAATGACTTTCTGTAGACAGGGTCTTACTGCTTTGCATCTGGAAGAACCACTCTGTTCTACACCCACCAAACCCCCTCCAATATATGCCTGGTGTTAGAGAGGAATAAATACTTTGTGTTCGCCTGGGACCAGTGGCCAGTGGCCACTCCACCAGACCCACAGCACTGGTCACCTGTGTGAGGGGATTGGGGAGAAAAAGAGGCCCTCATGGGTAGAACTGTAGACTCGGCTTCAAGCCATAGCAGCTGTTACTTCTGTATAGATGTTGACTGGGATGGAACTACCCCTGCTACCCTGGACTCAGACATGGGCGAGGGGTCCAGGGAAAACAGAGGCATGGACCAGAATCAGAAACAATAAGGTGAGGGGACGAGGCTCAGGCTCCTGTGAGTAGTTTGGGGTGACTGTTATAGCAAGTGCCCCATTTTCCCCAGAGTTGGTGGCTGTGCTGATGAGTCTCTCAAGGAAGCCAGTTTCTCCCTCACTCTGACCACCAGCTGCTGATGGCCCCTTATCCTGTAGATTGATCAGGAATGACTCCTTCGTAACTCCCAAATTTAGAAGACCAGCTAGACTTCTATGGGTGGCCTCAGAGTTTCCATTAATAGGTTTTAGATGAAAGGAAAGGATGTGCAATGGTTTCTTCAAGCAAATCAGTCCCCTCTTCTTATCCCCCAACCCCTTCATAGAACCTCAGTTGAAACAGTCACTGGAATACATTCCCCAGGTTGGGTGGAGAAGGCCAGGTTGATTGAATCTGGTTATTTGTGAGGACATAGCTGCTGAGCCCAGTGAGCAGTGAGCAGATGATGCAGGATGACTTCCCAGGTGTCAGCATCTGTAGACCCCTGAAGGACAAGCTTATAGCACCCAGTGCTGCCCCAGTTCCAGACCTACTGAGTCCTTCAGTTTCTCCCTGCCATTGTCTATTTTCTCCTTCACCAAAGATACAACTGTGAAGGCCCCTGTTAAGCTGCATTTGTACTTATTGCTCTGCACAGAATTCAAGTACCATGACATACCTTTCTGGTCTGTGCTGCTATTTTTAGTTAAATCCTGGAATCTTGGTCTTACTGAAGGAGATTCTCTGATAGACATCACAGCAGGGAGCCCAGTTTGGTGAAGGAGAAGCCACCAGAAGAGCAGCCTGTGCCCCAGAGATGCCTGCTTCTTCCACACTCAAGAGTATAGCCCCTATTCAGGCTGCCAAGTCTTGTCCTGAATACTCGGAGCTCTCAGGGTGGGGCTCCTCTTTCTCTCAGCCCACCCACCTTCAGAATCAAAGAACCCTGGAATTAGGTGTTTCACTGCACAGAGGGAGAGACAGGTTGAGTTCTTCTGTCTCTTACATGTTACTTATGCACTCCTGGCTTAAGCCCCTCTGTGTAGGGACCAAGGAGCATCCTTGCATCTTGTTTGGAAAGACATATGAGGACCCTCATTCAAAATCCTGGCTGCCGCAATGTTTCGGGAGGTCTTGAGTCTGCAGATTTGAAGAATAATAGAAAGAAGAATTAGAAAAGTGAGTAGGCATTATTGATTGGGCATCGTATACTGTGTATTTAGTGCTAACCGATGTGCTTACTTGAGGGTAGCTGTGTTAGAGAAGCCCTGTCTTTGAGGTTCAGCTCATAGACCTGGCATCAGGAAGAGAAGACCAGCTCTAACTCTGCCTCTTCCAGGCTTTGAACCCTGTGTGCAGTTGGCAGATGAACTACAAGGTAAGTTTGTATCTCAAATGAACAATATTGTGTGGGAGTTACACATACTAATTCTTTGTCATTGTTTTACTGAATTCAAATTTAACTGACCTTCGGTGTTTTTATTTGATAAACTGGAGAACCTTCCATCCAGGCCACAAGCACTCCCTCTCTAATCACGACCTACTGAATGAAAAGCAATCATAAAGCTGTTGTCAGGATTAAATGAGGTCACACTCTTAGGAATTCAAAAGCCGTTGGCCAATAGTAAGGTTGCAGTTGTACTAAATCTTGATAAAACCTATCAAAACCTCTGGGATACAGCAAAAGCAGTGCTATGAGGAATGTTTAGAATTAAATACGTACATCACAAAGTCTGAAAGAGCACAAATAGACAATCTAAGGTTACACCTCATGGAAATGGAGAATCAAGAACAATGCAAACCCAAACCCAGCAGAAGAGAGGAAATAGCAATATCAGACCAGAACTAAATAAAATTCAAACAAAAAAATGATAGAAAAGATAAATGAAACAAAAACCAATTCTTAGACAAGATAAATAAAATTATATATACCACTAGTGAGATTAACCAAGAAAAGAAGAGAAAAGATCCACATAAGCTGGATCTTAGTGTGGATCACCTCACCTGAGGTCAGGAGTTCGAGACCAGCCTGACCAACATGGTGAAACCTCATCTACACTAAATACAAAAAATTAGTGGGGTGTGATGGTACATACCTGTAATCCCAGCTACTTGGGAGGCTGAGGCAGGAGAATTGCTTGAAACCAGAGATGGAGGTTTCAGTGAGCCATGATTCTGCCATCGTAGTTTAGCCTGGGCAACAGAGTGAAACTTTATTAAAAAAAAATAAACCCACAATATTGCATCTGTGGAGGGATTGCAGAGATTAGTGATACCATCAAGGACTTGAAAAATGCAGGGGTGGTGATTCTCACAACATCCCCTTTCAACTCTCCCATTTGGCCTGTGCAGAAGATAGATGGATCTTGGAGAATTATAGTGGATTATCGGAAGTTTAACCAAGTGGTGACTCCAATCGCAGCTGCTGTACCAGATGTGGTTTCCTTGCTTGAGCAAATTAATGCATCTCCTGGCACCTCATATGCAGCCATTGACTTGGAAAATGCCTTTTTCTCCATTCCGGTCCATAAGGCCCACCAGAAGCAATTTGCGTTCAGCAGGCAAGGCCAGCAATATACTTTTACGGTCCTACCTCAGGGGTATATGAGCTCTCCAGCTGTGTGTCATAATCTTATTCAAAGAAATTTTGATTGCTTGTCTCTTTTGCAAGATATAACACTGACCCATTAAATTGATGACATTGTGCTGGTTGCATCCAGTGAGCAAGAAGTAGCAAACACAGTGGACTTACTGGTGAGACATTTGCATGCAAGAGGATGGGCGGTAAATCCAACTAAAATTCAAGGGCATTCTACCTCAATAAAATTTCTAGGTGTCCAGTGGTGTAGGGCCTGTCGAGGCATTCCTTCTAAGGTGAAGGATAAGTTGCTGCATTTAGCCCCTCCTACAACCAAGAAAGGCACAATGGCTAGTGGGCCTATTTGGATTTTGGAGGCAACATATCTCTAATTTGGGTGTGTTACTCCAGTCCATTTATCAAGTAACCCAAAAGGCTGCCAGGTTTGAGTGGGATTCAGAACAGGAGAAGGCTCTGCAACAGGTCCAGGCTGCTGTGCAAGCTGCTCTGCCACTTGGGCCGTATGACCCAACAGACCCAATGGTATTTGGGTGTCAGCGGCAGATAGCAAAGCTACTTGGAGTCTTTGTCAGGCCACTGTAAGTGAATCACAGTGGAGGCCTCTAGGATTTTGGTGCAAGGCCCTGCCATCTTCTGCAGGTAGCTACTCTCTTTTTGAGAGACAGCTCTTGGCCTATTACTGGGCTTTGGTGGAAACTGAACATTTGACTATGCGTCTTAAAGTCCCCATGCAACCTGAACTGCCTGTCATGAAGTGGGTGCTTTCTAACCCATTTAGCCATAAAGTGGATCATGCACAGCAGCATTCCATCATTCAGTGGAAGTGGTATATACGTATTTGGGCTGAAGGCACAAGTAAATTACATGGGGAAGTGGCTCAAATGTCCATGACCTCCACTCCTGCCACCAGCCTGCACTATCCCCCAGCCTGCACTGGTGGTCTCAGGGGCAGTTCACTATGATCAGCTGACAGAAAGAAGACTAGGGCCTGGTTCACAAATGTATCTGCATGATATGCAGGCACCACCGGAAAGTGGACAGCTGCAGCACTACAGCCCCTTTCCAGGACATCCCTGAAGTACAGCGGTGAAGGGAAATCTTCCCATTGGGCAGAACTTTGAGGAGCACACCTGGTTGTGCTCTTTGCATGGAAGGAGAAATCTCCAGATGTGTGATTATATATGAATTTATTTGCTGTAGCCAACGGTTTGGCTGGACGATCAGGGACTTCTTGGAGGCCGAAAGAATGAGGGTTGTGACCAACTCAGTATACCACTGGAGCAAACAGCAAGCTGTTCTCATGAATGCAGGTTGTTGGCAAACGACAAACTGCATCTACCACCAGAACGAATGCTGAGAGCTGTCACGCCCCAAGCACAGTGTTTCTTTTGATTATCTGCAGCACATCTGAAGTATGTTGTATAAAGAAAGCAATCCTGTGAACCTGTGATAAATCAAGCAGCTGACCAACTGTTAACTCCTCCTCCCTGTTCTTTCTACCTAATAAATATGAAGGATTGCAGTAGCTCAGGGCCCTTGCTCACTAGAAGCAAGGAGCCCCCTGACCCCTTCTTTAAAACAGATCCCTTTGTCTTTGTCTTCATTTCTGTGTTAGTCCCCCTTCATTCTGTCCTGTAGTAACTGTCACGGGGACTAGGAAGAAGTATGATTGGAAAATTGATGACAAAGAAATTTGGGGAAAAGATATGTGGATGGACCTCTCTGAGTGGTCAAAAACTGTGAAAGTATTTGTATCCCATGTGAGCGCTCACCAACGGGTGACCTCAGCAGAGGAGGATTTTAATAATCAAGAGGAGAGTATGACCAGTTCTGTGAACACCACGCATCCTCTTTCCCCAGCCACCCCTGTCATCGCCCAATGGGCCCATGAGGGAAGTGGCCATGCTGGCAGGAATGGAGGTTACACATGGGCTCATCAACATGGACTTCCACTCTCCAAGGCTGACCTAGCTACAGCCACTGCTGAGTGCCCAATTTGCCAGCAGCAGAGACCAACACTGAGCCCTCGATGTGGCACCATTCCTTAGGGTTATCAGCCAGCTACCTGGTGGCAGGTTGATTATATTGGACCTCTGTTGGGATTCACTCATGATGGTGGCAGAAATATCAAAGGGAAATATTAGGGAAAGTTATAGGGAATAATCACAAACATTTTGGAAGGCTAAAATGTTACATAGCTTGTAATAATTGTACAGGCTGAAGGCAGCTGGTTCTTACCTTAGAGCATTAGGTCATAGGGTAAATGCTAGGGACAATGGAGGCTTTCCCAGTTAAGCCTGTTTACCCTATCTCCATTAACTAACCTTTGAGCCAGATGGCCCTCTCGGTGGGAGGTCAACCAGGGATATTGCCCCGTAATGGTATTTACTTTAGACCAGGGTACCTGAGCTTTAATCATTCGTAGAACTACTCTCTTAACCATGTTAATTATCCACAAGTGTGTTTACTCAAAGCTTCTGTTGTTAATTGTATACTAAATAAATGCCTGGAGTACCAGCTGCTCAGGACCCACCACAGTGACAAACCTCTCCTGGTGTGTATGTTGTCGGACACTCAGAATCAAAGAACCCAGCCGGACTGGCCAAACAGAATATCTGTGTGTCAGTGTCCGTTTTTATTCATCCGTCGTTTGAGTCAGGGTCTGCAGGCAGACCCCCGCAGCTAATGCTGTCTTCTGAGGAGCAATATCTCAACTGGTGCCCTGTGTGAGGAGAAATACAACAGACCTCTTCCATCACAGGAAGGGCAGAGGTTTGTCTTAACTGAAATAGACACTTATCCTAGATATTGGTTTGCCTATGAGACTACCATCCGTGTACTCTTGGAATGCCTCATTCACTGTCATCATATTCCACACAGCAATGCTCTGACAAAGGCTCTCACTTTATGACTAAAGAAGTGCAGCAGTGGGCTCAAGCTCACAAAATTCACTGGTCTTACCATGTTCCCCATCATCCTGAAACAGCTGGATTGATAGAACAGTGGAATGGCTTTTGAAGTCACAATTACATTGCCAACTAGGTGACAATACTTTGCAGGGCCAGGGCAAAGTTCTCCAGATGGCTGTGTATGCTTTAAATCAGCATCCAATATATGGTACTGTCCCTCCCGTAGCCAGGATTCATGGATCCAGGAATCAAGGGGTGGAAGTGGAAGTGGCACCACTCACCATCAACCCTAGTGATCCACTAGCAAATGTTTTCCTTCCTGTTCCTGAGACATTATGTTCTGCTGGCTCAAAGGATTTACTTCCAGAGGAAGGAACACTACCACCTGGAGACACAACAATGATTCCATTAAACTGGAAGTTAAGATTGCCACCTGGACATTTTGGGCTTCTCCTACCTTTAAGTCAATGGCTAAGAAGGGAGTTACAGTGTCGGCTGGGGTGATTGACCCAGACTATCAAAATGAAATCAGTTTACTACTCCACAATGGAGTTACTGAAGAACATGCATGGAATACAGGAGATGCATTAGGGCATTTCTTGCTATTACCATGCCCTGTGATTAAGGTCAATGGGACCCTTCAGGAATGAAGATTTGGGTCACTCCACCAGGAAAAAAAACACAACCTACTGAGGTGCTTGCTGAAGGCAAAGGGAATACAGAATGGGTAGTAGAAGAAGGTAGTCATCAATACCAGCTATGGCCAGCGGCAGAAACGAGGAGTGTAATTGTCAAGAGTATTTCCTCCTTCTTTTGTTAAAAACATGTTTGCGCATCTATAAACTCGTACTAAGAAAATATCTTCATTTTATTTCCTTTCTCCTTTATCATATAACATAAGATTTATTGACGTCACATCAGCATTTAAGTATCAGTAACTTGATGTAATAGTATTTGTGTTAGGGATTCGTGCGTTCTGGTTGTATGAAGGATAATTGTATTATGTTAGGCGTAATTATGACTTTATTATTGTCTTTATTTGAAGATTATGTACGATATCACAAGTTGTATATGGGTTCATGCTGACAAGGAGTGGACTTGTGATGAGTAATACTGAGCGTCAACTTGATTGGATTGAAGGACAAAAAGTATTGGCCGGGCGCAGTGGCTCATGCCTGTAATCCCAGCACTTTGGGAGGCTAAGGCGGGCAGATCACAAAGTGAGGAGATCGAGACCATCCTGGCTAACACGGTGAAACCCCGTCTCTACTAAAAATTCAAAAAAATTAGCCGGCCATGGTGGTGGGCACCTGTAGTCCCAGCTACTCGGGAGGCTGAGGCAAAGAATTGCTTGAACCCTGGAGGCGGAGCTTGCAGTGAGCGGAGATCGCGCCACTGCACTCCAGCTTGGGTGACAGAGCAAGACTCCATCTCCAAAAAAAAAAAAGAAAAAAAGTATTGATCCTTGGTGTGTGTGTCTGTTGAGGGTGCTGCCAAAGGAGATTCACATTTTTGTCAGTGGGTGGGAAAGCCACACTCACCCTTAATCTGGGTGGGAACAATCTAATCAGCTGACAGCATGGCTAGAAAATAAGCAGGTAGAAAAATATGAAAAGAGAGATGGGCATAGCCTCCCAGCCTACATCTTTCTCCCATGCTGGATGCTTCCTGCCTTCAAATATGGAACTCCAACTTCTTCAGTTTTGGAACTCGGACTGGCTCTCCTTGCTCCTCAGCCTGCAGACAGCCTATTGTTGGACCTTGTGTTCATGTGAGTTAATACTTAATAAACATATATATATATTCCATTATTTGTGTCCCTCTAGAGAACGCTGACTAATGCATTAATCCACAGGAAGGAAAAAGGGGGACTCCTTCCTAAATTATTCTATGTATCCAACAGCTATCAAAAACATAGTCCACAATGATCAAGTGGTTTTCAAACCAGGGAATGCAGAGATGGTTTAACATATGTGAGTCAATAAATGTGATATACCACATAAAAAGCATTAAAAACAAAAATGACATGATTATCTCAATACATGCAGAAAAAATACTTGACAAAATCCAGCATCACTTCATGATTAAAACTCTTTGCAAAATTGACATAGAAAAGACATAACTTATGTCCTCTATTAAGCCCTCTATTACAAACACACAGTCAACATTATATTAAACGGAAAAAAGTGGAAAACGTTTCTCCTGAGATCTGGAACAAGGCAAGAATGCCCACTTTCACCACTTCTATTCAACATAGTACTGGAAGGCTTAGCCAGAGCAATCAGACAAGAGAAACAAATCAAAGATATCCAAATTGACAAAGAGGAATTCAAACTGTCACTATTTGCTGATAATATGATCATATACCTAGAAAACCTTAAAGACTCATCGAAAAAGCTCCTAGAACTGTAAATAAGTTCAGCAAAGTTTCAAGATACAAAATTAAGGCACACGAATCAGTAGCTCTGTTATACAATGACAGCAAACGAGCTGAAAATCAAATCAAGAACTCAACCCCTTTCGCAAATAGCTGCAAAATACATACTTAGGATATACCTAGCCAAGGAGGTGAAAGACCTCCACAAGGAAAACTACAAAACACTGCTGAAAGAAATCATAGATGACACACACAAACAAATAGAAACACATCCCATGCTCATGAATGGGTAGAAACAATACATTGAAAATGATCATACTGCCAAAAGCAAGTTACAAAATCTATGCAATTCCCATCAAAATATCACCATCATTCATTAGAGAATTGGAAAAAATAATCCTAAAATTCATATGGAACCAAAAAGAGCCTGCATAGACAAAGCAAGACTAAGCAAAAGGAACAAATCTGGAGGCATCGCATTACCCAGCTTCAAACTCCAGTAAAGTTTGACTCCATAGTCACTAAATCTGCTTGGTACTGATATAAAAATGGGCACACAGACCAAAGGAACAGAATAAAGAATCCAGAAATGAAACCAAATACTTCCAACCCACTGATGCTTGACAAAGCAAACAAAAACATAAAGTAGAAAAATGACACCATATTCAACAAATGGTGCTGGGATAATTGGCAAGCCAAATGTAGAGGAATGAAACTGCATCCTCATCTCTCACCTTATACAAAAATCAACTCAAGATGAATCAAATAATTAAATCTAAGGCCTGAAACGGTAAGAATTCTAGAAGATAACGTCAGAACAACCTTGCTAGACATTGGTTTAGGCAAATATTTCATGACCAAGAACACAAAAGCAAATGCAACAAGAACAAAGATAAATAGATGGGACTTAATTAAACGAAAAAAACTTCTGCACAGCAAAAGAAAGAATCAGCAGAGTTAACAGACAACCAACAAAGTGGATGAAAATCTTCACAATCTATACATCCAACAAATGACTAATATCTAGAATGTACGAAGAACTCAAATTATCAAGAAAAAAATAAACACTTCCATCAAAAGGTGGACTAAGGACACGAATAAACAATTTTCAAAAGAACTTGTACAAATGGCCAACAAACATATAGAAAAATGTTCAACATCACTAATAATCAGGGAAATGCAAATCGGTACCACAATCTGTGTTACCACCTTCCTATCACAAGAATAGCTATAATAAAAAAATAACAGATGTTGGCATGGATGTGGTGAAAACAAAACACTTTCACACTGGCGGTGGGAAGGTAAACTAGTACAATCACTGTGGAAAACAGTGTGGAGATTCCTTAAGGAAACAAAAATAGACGTACCCTTTGATCCAGCAATCTCACGACTAGGTATCTACCCAGAGAAAAAGAAGTCATTATACAAAAAAAGATACTTGCACACGCATGTTTATAGCAGCACAATCTGTAATTGCAAAAACATGGAACCAGCTCAAATGTCCATAAATCAACAAGTAGGTAAAGCAAATGTGATGTATACATACACATACCAGGGAATACTACACAGCCATAAAAATAAACAAAATAATGGCATTCACAGCAACCTGGATGGAACTGGAGACTATCATTCTAACTGGTGTAACTCAGGAATGGAAAACAAAACACTGTATGTTCTCACTCATAAGTGGGAGATAAGCTATGAGAACCCAAGGGCATAACAATGATACAATGGACTTTGGGGACTCGGGGGAAAGCATAGGAGGGAGGTGAGGGATGAGAGGCTACTCATTGGATACAGTGTACACTGCTTGGATGATGAGTGCACCACAATCTCAGGAATCACCACTAACGAACTTATATATGTAACCAAGCAACACTTGTTCTCCAAAAACCTATTAAAATAAAATAACAAATTTTAAAAATAATTAAAAAGGGAAAATCGCTAAAACCCTTAAAAAAACCCCAAAATAAATAAATAAATAAATAAAAGATGAGAACCTCTTCCACTATAGAGAGAGCCAAGAAAAGAACTGAAGAAGCAAGAATCCTGACAAACCATCACGGACTGTCCTGTCACCTTAGATGAACATCACCCATAGAGTTTGTTTGATGAACAATAAATTCAAACTTTAAAGGAAATACATGAATAAAATCAGAAAAAAATGGCCTAAGGACCCTTAAAGATAGTAATGAGCCCTCTAAGGGATGGGTGCAATTCAGCGACAGCAGGGATAATCTCAAAGCAAGTGTGCAGAGTGAAAGAAGCCTGAACAAATGGGAAGATAACGTTTGATAACACTGATACATTCCAGAAAAAAAAACCAAACAGTAGTGAGAGAGGCAGATCTGTGGCTTCCTGAGAGGCCATTAGGGGAGGGAGGGAGGAGACAAGCATCATGAGGAGCTGCCGGGATGGTCACAATAGCTCCCGGGGATGGTGATGTTTTCAAGGAACCAGAAAAATGCCAAAATTTGTCTAATTTCCTGTTATAAATATGGGTAGTTTATTAGATGTGCATAGTTCCTACATGAAAGGAGTTTTATTAAAAAAGAATAGGCTGGAGAGAAAGGAAGCACAGGGATTCACACTGAGGAGCAGGGGGAGGAAGACACCACTCTGGAAACTCCTGGAAATGGGAAAAGGAGGATGACGGAGACACGGGTTCCCCATCAGAGGTGGGTCTGAGATGACACAACTGGACCTGCCACCTCAGCCCAGGACTTCAGTGCAGAGACCCTGTGTCCTAAGCTGCAGGGAGGAGGATGTTCTGTTTCCTGGATGTCCTGTTCCTGACTCTGAGGACTGAAGGGGAGGAGGAGCCTCCACTCTCAGGCAGGGCCCTGGATGCCCCTGGACCCATGAAGGAAGCTGCAGCAGCAGAAGCCACAGGCCAGGCTTGAGCAGCAGCTGCTGGGGCTCACCCTCCTGACAGAGGAGGAAGGGGGTTCTTGTCTCAGTTCCCCATTGGCCTGGAGCACTGTGGGACCATTCAGGCTGTCATCCCATGCTGCACAGTAATAATCAGCCTCATCCTCAGACTGGAGCCCACTGATGGCCAGGGAGGCTGAGGTGCCAGACTTGGAGCCAGAGAATCGGTCAGGGACCCCTGAGGGCCGCTGATTATTACTATAGATGAGGAGTTTGGGGGCCGTTCCTGGGAGCTGCTGGTACCAGTTTACAGTATTACTTCCGATGTTGGAGCTGCTTCCAGAACAAGAGATGGTGACCCTCTGCCCGGGGGTCCCAGACGCTGAGGGTGGCTGAGTCAGCACAGACTGGGCCCAGGACCCTGGAAGTGAGAGAGACACAGACATGGTGATTGACAAGAGACAAAAGGAGACAAGAGGAGAAAGCAGGGCCCCATGGGCTTCCCAGGGCCCCTTTCTTGGTCCCCATCCTGTCACCTGCACAGTGAGTGAGGAGGGTGAGGAGGAGAGGGAAGCTGGCCATGCTGGAGATTGTCCTGAGTCCTGTCTTCTCTACCCACAGCTGAAGCTGAGCTTCCCCCAGATCTCTCCCTCTCTTCATACTCTGAGAGGGGGAGAGTCCATCCATGCAAATCAGACCCCCCCAGCTTTGTGACCCCACCCTGAGCCCTGGGTCAGGCTCCTTGCCTTGAGGATGTCAGGGTGTGGCAGGGGTGGAGCTCTGTGGTCCCAGAGGGTGGGGAGAACACAGTTGTGAGCCCTGAGCAGAGGACAACAGGCACAACAGGTGGCCGGTTGTGCTCCCATCACCGCCCACCCCCGCCCCCCGCGCGTCTTCTCAGAAATGGTCCCCCAGCGTCCCCTGGTGTCCAGCCAAGGTAAACCATTCTATGATAAGGTGACCAGAGCCTCTCATTCACACCACTGCCTCCCCTCTGTTCTGTCCACTGCCCCCTCTCTCAGGTCCAGGCCAGCTCAAGTGACACCTGTGTCTTCCCGCTGTGACCTCAAAGCAGTCTTCGCGCTCTACTGGACTCCTCAGGAGTGAATCTGTCCATGGCTCTGTGGCTGTACATTGCAGAGGACTCAGGTGGTGTCTACACAGAGTCCTCTTATGTCAGGATCAAGCCCAGAGCGGGGACCAGCCCCATGGACTCACTTCCCCACCTGTGTGGGACACCTGGTCCTCTCCTCTCATGTGGCTCCTTCCTGCTGGCTAGAGCTCTCCTTCCTCTGTGGATCCTGTGGAGCTGAAGAGAAAGGGAGCTCTTCCCTCTAGGGTGCCTTGGGAAGACATTCCCAGAGGGTTTTTCTGGTAAATCTTTGTTCTCTCTCTACTTCCCCAGGTTTGCAGTCAAAGTCATTTGGATACTGTGACCAGGGATCTTGCCTAGGAGTCTGTACACTGAATGCCCATCTACAGGGGATCCTGGCAAATGACTTTGGAGTGTTTCACTTATGAGCAAAAAGAGCAAAGATGCTCAGTCTTTGAAGATGGGAAGAATTAAAACTTCAACTTGGTTTAACCAGCGTCTGTCCTCAGGTGAGCCTGATACATGGCAGCTCTTACTATCGAGCCGCCAACGAGGATTTCTAGGAGAAGATTTTGGTTCAAATTCAGTAGTGAGTGTTGTGGGGGTGGCTTAAAGATGATAGAAATTTTTCGTCTTTGATCTGTAATGACGTCTAGAATCTAATGAACTAAAAACAACAAGCTTAACAGAAAACATAATTCTGTTGATCAAAATGAAAAATGAAACAGGTTATGTCTGTGACTGCCTGAGTTCTGGCATGATACACCCTGGGCTCTTAATAAATATTTGTTTAGGGAATTTTAAGGGGATACAGAAAAACAGCAAGATGATTATGTTGATATAAGTTGTAATACAATAAGATTTTAAATGCTCCATTTAAACAACCAAATAGTGAAACCTAATACAGACATTTAAATAAAACCAGTCCATACATGGAACTGAAATAAAATGTATGCTGTGTTTTGGGATTGCATTTCAAGGGTGTTGTTATTTTAAATGTTTCTTTTAGTGTAAGCCATGTGCCTTTACATAATTTTTATAGTTTTTAAAATATGTTTGTTGTATTTACATAACACATCAGGCATATTAAGTTTTATTTATTTCCAAGTAGAAATAAACTATTAGAGCTGGGCTTCACTTCCTGTTTTTTCTCATTGCTTTTTCTTTGATGATGTATAGATGTTCACAGTGAATTTTGTTTTCCTTTCCTCCCACGTTAATGAACAGGGGGTCACCGAGTCTGAGCAGTGTCTCACATACAGGACAAGGCTGCCCACGGCCTCCTCCCTGCCCACGGATGCGCTTCCTGGTGGATGCCCCATCAGCTGTTAGGTTGAGGGCAGAGAGAAGAACAGGTCCAAAACTACAGGATGTGGACACCCAGAGGATCCGGGAGGGACAACAGCTGGGACAGTGAGCCTTGGACAGAGGACACTGACTATGGATTTTTTATGTGATCCTCCTGAGGGACCCTCAGGGACAGACCAAAACCCCAGTCTCTGTGTGTCTTGAGGGCCCAGGTCCTTCCAGGTCCTCCTTTTGTCACTGCTCTGGGCCCCGGGCCTCCTCCTCCTGTGAGTCACAATGGACACTCTCCTCTTCAGGGTGCACCCTCCTTACCACACCTGACCCCACACCGTCCCCTCATTCCCCCATAAACCATCCCCTGCTCACTTCCATTAGCATTTTTGCATCCTACTGAGATCACAGCCTCCCAAGGATGGCTCTGCAGGATTTCCATGTTGCAGAGAGCTCAGCCCCTTGACAGGACAGCTGGGCCTGGGCCACCCAAGGCTAAGCATCTCTCTTGCTTCTCTTCTACACCAGCTCTAGGCCAAGCCAGATCCAGACCTTTCAGAAGGCTGATCCCACCTTTTCTTAAGCATCAGACTACCTCTCTCACATCTGTGGGTCACACAGGCTGGATTCGCCTTTCTTGTTATCACTCCCACAGTTTCAGAGCTCAGCAAATGGCCAGCATACCTGTTCAAAAAGGAGGGGACACCTGTGGGACCAGGCCGAAGGCTCCTGGACTTCTGGGTCACACTGCCTAGATTCTTTCTTTTCCTTTTTTCTTTTCTTTCTTTCTTTCTTTTTTTTTTTTTTTTTTTTTTTTGAGATGGAGTCTCTGCCTGTTGCCCAGGCTGGAGTGCAGTGTCATGATCTCAGCTCAATGCAACCTCCACCTCCCTGGTTCAAGCGATTCTCCTGCCTCAGTCTCTCGAGTAGCTGGGATTACAGGCGCCAGCCACCATGCCCAACTAATTTTTGTATTTTTAGTAGAGACGATGTTTCACCATGTTGCTCACGCTGGTCTCAAACTCCTGACCTCAGGTGATCCACCCACCTCCGCCTCCCAAACTGCTAGGATTACAGGTGTGAGCTGCCATGCCCAGCCAGGCTGGATTCTTTCTTGTCATTTCCACCTCATCCTCACCCACCATGTGTGGGCAGCTTATTTTACTTCTTGAAACAAACTGATTCTCTTTCCACTGGGGAGACCAGTAAGAAAAGGAGTTATCGTCCCTGAACCCTTGCTCTGCTTTCAGTAACACAACTGACAGCTGAAGTCTTGGCATGAACTGGTGTTGGTCACAGGCAGGGATAAAGGAGGGATGGGGAGACAGGATGAGTGGGGAGATCTTTCTATCATTTCCACATGGAACAGGAACCCTTGGTAACATGGAGTCAGGATGCAGCTGTGTGACACTGATAACCAGCCAGGTCCTCAGGCTGGAGCCCAGAGGCACTCCAGGAGGCTGTGTGGATAAACCCAGATCAGGAGAAGCAGGCTGGGACCCCTGAGGGACCATCACTATTGTCCTAGGTCATAAACTTAGGGGTTCTCTCTGGGAGGCCTCATAGCCATTTCCATGGGAATGGCCAATGTTTCTGCTGCTCCCCATGGAGAAAAAGATGACCTTGAGGTGGGGGCCTCCTCAAGAGTTTCCCAGGGAGGAGTCACTTGAAGCAAATATTGGGCAGTTTCTGTATCCAGATATTCCACAGACTCACCACTAGACCTGAGTCAGTGAGAAGCTCCAATGGTGTAAGAGAGGAGAAGAGAACACAGTCAGGCCCTGAGGGATCAGGAAACCCACCCTCAGCAGTCCCCGTGGTCCTGAGTGGGATGAGCTACAGGAGTCACATCCATGGGATCTACTTCCCCCATGGCCAAGGAGCAGCCTCTGGCTTGTCTCAGCCATGGTGGAGCCTCCCCTTGATTCTGTCATGTCCTACATAGAGGTTTACTGGCATCGGGCCCGCAGTTACCCTAATATCTAACGCCATCTCCTGACATTGCCACTGAAATGCAGGTACCCAGGACTGAGCCAGGTCAGCACTATATCCAGAATTCCCTGACCTGAGTCCTCAGGCAGCATTTCATATTTGAGTGCCTTGTTCCTGGGACACAGTGAGCCTCAGACAGCCCTGAGAACAGACTACTGGGGATGGAAGGGGAGGTCTCTGCCCGTACGCTGGAAGAGCAGAGTCCATGCTGCAGGGCACTGTTCACCTGCTATGTTGTCCCCAGGCTCTGACCATGATGTGAGCTAGGAAAGCCTCATTTTGCTTCTTTCAAGAAAAAAACGTCCAGCTCCACAGGCACTGGTGTTAGCACATGTGGACAACCAGCCAACACTTCAGGGTCATCAGGTGGTTTTGTTTTGTTTTGTTTTGTTTTACTGAGACTTCAGAAAAATGGATAGAAAATTGAGAGAAGAGCCTTTTACAACTAGAAAGTACTTCCAAATATAGTTTGTGCCTAGGCCAGTTATTTTAAAATTTAAAAATTGGTACAGAGCAAGACCCAGAGCAGGGTGAGGTTTTTGTCCCACTTCCCCATCTGTGTGTGTCACTGTGAGAAGCGCTGCTGTGCCAAATCATACAGTAATAGTCAGCCTCATCCTCAGACTGGAGCCCAGAGATGAGTAAAATCCCTGCATTGGCCGAAGCATCTTTGGATCCAGAGAAGCGGCTGGGGACTCCAGAGCCCTGCTGCTTATCTGAGTCTGATTTGTACCTCAGGAGATACTGGGGAGGACTCCCTGGCTTCTGCTGGTACCAGTATATCCTGTAGGTACCAACATTGATGCCACTGCGCAAGGTGCAGGTGAGACTGGCTGATGCTCCAGGAGATGCAGAGAGGGAAGACGGCTGAGTCAGCACAGCCTGCGAGAGGGAACCTGGAAACACAGACATTAATGGGTGCTAAGGCAGAAACCAGGGTAAAGTTTTTCAGGGATCTTTGCCAGAAGAGTCAGAATCAGGCTGGGTGGCTGACCCTGGTCTCTGAAGTCTATTCCTACCTGTGCAGTGAGAGAGGAACAGGAGGAGGAGAGGAGTCCAGGCCATGGTGGACACAACCTCTTACCCCCGCAGTGGGACTGGGCTGCCCCAGGCCTCCTTTTCTTCCCACTGTTGCAGAGGAGGGGTTGCTCATGCAAATGTGTTTCCACCCAGGGACTGCCGGGCCCCTCCTTGAGACCTGGGGATGCAGCTCAGCTCTCTCTGCAGACTGAGCAGGAGGAAGGTTTGCTTTTCTTTTTGCAAGGCCCTGGGAGGAAGCACCTGTTGAGACCATACACAGGTCCCTGCTCAGGGAACTCTGCCAGGCCAGAGGGGACACAGCTGCCGAGTGTCCATCAGTGAGCACAGGGCCCAGCCTCAAGGCCTGGATTTCTCTGAGTGAATGCTCATTACTGAGCAGCTGTGTCGGAACCACAGGGCAGCCCCACAACATCTGACGCTGGTCCCAGGAAACACACTTTCCCAAAGCTCAGAGACTTCAGAACCCAGCTGGTCTCTGCAGCTCTTTAGTCACTGTCTGTATTCACATATCCATGGTCTGATTCCCAGACACTGCTTCTATCATGCTATGCATTATTACTACGATTTCTCACTCCCAGAAGTAGTCTTGGTCTGTGGGATGTGCAGACCTGTACATACATAACTTTTATAGGTGTCAGCACCCCAACAGGGCATTTTAGAAAAATCTATTTGCCCACATATGTCATCAGAGTGGGCATCATGGAAAAGGGGTCAGCTGAGGAGCTGGGTTGAAGGGCAGCTGGGGTTGTTCAAAAAGATGGTGAATAATGAAAAATTTCCAGGAAAAATAAAGGATCAATGACATGTTAAAGGCAGCAATTCCTTTGGGAAGCCAAGGCGGGCGGATCACGAGGTCAGTAGATCAAGACCATCCTGGCTAACGCGGTGAAACCCCGTCTCTACTAAAAATACAACATATTAGCTGGGCGTGGTGGCAGGCGCCTGTAGTCCCAGCTACTCGGGAGGCTGATGCAGGAGAATGGCGTGAACCCGGGAACCCGGGAGGTGGAGCTTGCAGTGAGCTGATATTGGGCCACTGCACCCCAGCCTGGGCGACAAAGCGAGATTCTGTCTAAAAAAAAAAAAAAAAAAAAAAAGACAGCAATGCAACACAAGTTATATTTACAATGGTTTCATACGTTTTAAAGAGATTTGATTCGATTTTGTGATACAGGAAAACTAATAGATTTGCTAGACTTACCTTTACCAGTGAACAGTGTGACATATTTCACTATTTTATGAAATTAGCCATTATCTCCCTAAGTAAAACGTCATTTTCTGCACAGTTGCATCATATTTTTTGGTCAAGAATTTGTTCTAGCTGTTATACAAATTGCATTGTGCTATTACCACGTGTATTTTTTTACTAGGTGTTTTCAGTTTATTAGAAAGATCAGTATGTATTTTACCTGCAAAATTCTCTTGCAAATGAGTTGGATGTCTCAGGAGACAAAAGCAGAGACCATCACTTCTCAATTTAGCCACATCTACTCTTGTGCTAACTGTGCAAATGGCCCCTGAGTTTCTAGACTCACGAGGTGCTTTAGCGAATAATCTAGAATCAGGATCACTCACTTTTCTCAGACACTCTCTTCTCAAGGCATTCAGAGAGATCCCTGTCACTCAGATAGGGCAGGCAGGGCACTCCCTGGTTTAAGCCCCTTGAGTAACTCCTCATTGTTATTATGAAACCTGAACCCTGAGACCTCAGCAACATGCCCTTCACATTGTGGCCCCAGAACACCCCCACAGCCCAACTCACAGCCCCTGCCCTTGCTTTTAGGGCTCCAGGCTCACTCACTTCTCTGTCCTGGGAAACCCTGAGCTCCTGTGTTTTCCATGTTCTCCACACCAGCTTCTCCTCTGCCTGTTGGGAGAAGATGGGCTTCCACTTGAAGTCAAAGTGTAAGCTTACATTTTGTCCACATGGTACACCTGGTAAAAGCAGAACATAAACATCTCATTGCAAAAAAGGATATTTTCACTGGTTAGCATGGAAACGTTTGAGTCATACAAATATACAGAGAATTTTCTGATGAATTGTTTGCACCAATCAGCCAACTTTGACCATCATCAATGTGGTTCATCTTGTTTAATTTTTCAACCCATTTTACCCATCAACTTACTCCCTTTCTAGGTGATTTTTAGAACAGATCAAGGAAGCAGTATTTTATCATTGGTACATAAATTAACAAATATATACATTTGAAGTGTTCCATAATTCTTGTGCATTAAAGCAACAGATTCCAAGGACTCTAACATTAATAGATTTGTCTTTTAATCATTCATGTTTAAAATTAATTTATTGTAATAATTGGGAGACTGGAGGAAGTACAATGAATGCTACGATTTGCAAAGGCAGAGCCCACAGCATTGCATATTGGATTAGAAAAAAGTCCAGATGGGCACTACATTCATAATTATTTAATGGCTTTACCCAGTCCTCCTAGTGCAGAAATATCTCTTCTGTGGACACAGAGCTCACAAACCCATCATTCTTTCTTCAAGAATTTCTCCATCAAAGTCTATTATGGGACTTGGGACTGATGAGTTTAATGTTTGAATTGCATTGATCATATGACTTATTG